>NC_000004.12:115285017-115436532 GCF_000001405.40 Homo sapiens | reverse complement strand
GTATGACTTTTAATTCCCCCAAAACTTAACTATTAATAGCTTACTGTCGACTGGAAGCCTTAGCAATAGCAAAACAGCAGATTAACACATATTTTGTATGTTATATGTATGATATATGTATGATATGTATGATATGCTGTTTTCTTTCAACAAAGTAAGCCAGAGAAAGAAAATACTATTAAGAAAATTATAAGGAAGTGAAAATATAGTAACTACTTATTAAGTGGAAGTGGATCATTTTAAAGAACTTCATCCTCATTGTCTTCCCATTGAGTAGGCTGCAGAGGAGGAGAGAAAGGAGGTCCTGGTCTTGCTATCTCAGAGGTGGAACAGGTAAATGAGGTTGAAAGGGAGGCAGGAAATGCAGGGACACTTGATGTAAGTTAACAGTAATACATAATAATTTCTATTTGACTTTTGCTTTTCTAAAAATATTTTTATGCAGTACAAATCTTTCTTCTACCATTTGCTTTAGTTTCAGTTCTGGTATCATAGAAATGTCTATGTCATAAAAGAAATCACAAGCAGTCTTGAATAATCAGATCTCTCTGCCACTGTGTCAAATGTCAATTGGTTTTCTGGTGCTGCTTCTTCTGTCTTTTTCCTCATGATCTAGCACTGGTTTGGAAGCACTCATCTCCATCAAGTAGTATTCCTTTAATTCCTCTGGTGTGGTATCTGTTAGCTCTTGAATTTCTCCAAGATCCATATCCTGAAACCCTTTACCCCTCATTTTTGTTGCCACATCCACAATCTCTTTCATGGTTTTCTTGATTTGCTATGTCATATATCCTGTGAAGTCATGCACGACATCTGAATATAGTTTCCTCCAGCAGGGATTTATTGTTTCACTCTTGATGGCTTTCACAGCTTTTTCTGTTACAACAATGGCATCCTCAGTGGTGAAATCTTTCCACCAACTTTCATGATGTTCTATCTATCAGGTTTTACCTCCACGGTGTTGACAATCCTTTGTATAGAGTATCATGTGTCATGAGCCTTAAAGGCCCTCATGACTCCCTGATCTAGAAGCTGATTTAGAGACAGTGCATTTAAGAGCATATAGACCTCTTTGACATCTTTAGTATTGAACTCATGGATTTCTGGTTGGCCAGAGGCATTGTCCAATATCAAAAGAACTGTAAAAGACAGTCCCTTACTGGCAAGGTACTTCCTGACTTCAGGTACATCAATGGAACCAATCCAGAAAAAGTCTTCTCATTATACATGCTTTCTTCTGATGCAACCCCAAAACTGGAAGCTTGTGTTTATCTTTTCCCTTCAAGTTGTAGGCAGTAGCAGCTTTGTAGATTAGTGCTATTATAGCACTTACCATAAAGATGACTACATTTGGACAAAACAGTAGAGTTGGCTGATCTCTTCTTTCCTTAAATCTTGCTACTTGTTTCTCTTTCTCACTAATAAATGTTCTTTGTGGCTTTTTTTTTTTCCAGGATAAGGCCATTTCTTCTGCATTAAAAACATGTTCAGGCAGATAGCCTTTCTTCTCAATGGTTTTCTTAATGACATCTAGGAACTTGTCTGTCGCATCTTGCTTAGCAGAATATGCTTCTACTGTAACCTTGATTTTTTTTAAGCCAAATCTGTTTCTAAAATTATCAAATTATCTTTGGCTTACATTAAATTATCCAGCTTTAGAACCTTTACCTTCCTTTTGCTTTAAGTTATCATGTTATGACTTTGCTTTTCCTCAAATGACATTAGAGTCTATAGTAATGACTTTCTTATAAAAATCCTCCACCCATAAAAGCTGCATTTTTAATATGGGATAGGAAGGTATTTCACAAAAAGTGCATGGTTTTTATGTCTGTCAGCATAGCTACAGTGATGGCTTCATGAATTCACTTTTCTTCTTTTACTTCAGAGTACATGCAAGATATTCAGGTAACCAGGAACTAGTGGTGAGGTTATGCAGAAAAGTGTGGTTTAAGGGTGCAGGTGAGTGCCTGCTGTTCTGCAGAGAAAAAGATCAGTGTATGTACAAATCTGCAGAAGGATTTGCAGCTAAGTGGAAACTCTGTGGGATGCAATCACACCATATAAAAGCCTTCAGCAGTGTATGGTGAAGGGTGGGTGTTCAGTAGTAACAGTGAGGGTCTGGTGGTGAGCCTCTGGGACTCAATCTGCTGAGAGAATGGTGGTGCTAGTGTATGCAGAGACTCCCAGGATACTGGATTCTCTCTTTAGAAAGTCATAGGAAGGTCATTGCCAGGTCAAACCAAAACTGCAAGGCTGCCAAGGGACCATGTGTTTTGGACCTGCGGCTTGAGGAAATCTCCACCATTTGTCCTCACATTCATTCCACTGAACAGGAACTATTGGTGTGGGTGTGCAGAAGGCAACAGTTTCTCCCGTACCTTTTATCCAGAAAACATGATATACTTTGTAAAGGAGAAATGGTTCAAGGAATTTGGTTTTTATTATTTCACAGTAATGAAGGATGAATTTAAAGTTTAGAGGCAATATATTGATAACAGACACATATAGCTAGGCTTTAGGAAGCTCTCCTATTTTAATTATTGAGTACTAGTTGACCCATCCCAATATAAAAATATCAGGCCAGAGAATCATAGGGTCTCTATAGGTTAGGTGTCCCATTTCAATAAGCCCTCAGTAGCAAGTTGCTTTTCAAAAAAGTAGTCATGTCAGTGAGGTTACAAGTCCAGAACAACAGGGAATTGCTCTAAGAGGCAGAGGCCACTGCCGCTGGAGGCTCCAGATGGAAAAACTAAAATACAGACTTGGACTGATTTCAATACCCAAATAGTACAATGAGAGTTGAGTCACCTTTCTGGCTCTTGGCACTGAAGTGGTGGCAGTACTTCTACCACTGCTAAAGGGGTAGAGTATTGTGAATCAACCTGCATAAGCCTTGGAAACTACTTGGCATTCAGGATCCTGAATTTTTTCAAAGTTATTTAGGCATCCCTTCTGAGAGAGCTGTGATGACTCCACAATCAGGGACATTGCAACTGAGGCTTCTAACTTATTAATCAAAAGAATGTCATTTATACAGTAAAAACTTTGCAAATCATAGGGTAGAAGTATTTGCATTAGATCATGACTCAGTTGCTGGTGGCAAATGGCAGGAAGTTTGTCTTACTAGCTCTTCTACACTTGCAGCTCTTCCCTGGTAGAGATAATTGTCTTTGGCACTTATAGAATAAGGAAGTACAAGCATATTAACCCACATAATTTTTACTACACACTCAGACCTAGAAGTAACAGAAAGAGAAAATTGAAGAAGCAAAATAACATAAATAACCCTCAGAGACATGTTAGTTCTCTTTCTCACTGTAAACCCTGCCTAAACTCACTTTGTTGAAACCATTTACCTTCATACCCAATGGATCTAAGTAGGTTAATCAATTGAATACCATTGACTGAGCAAAGCCATAGAAGTTGAAATCTAGGAATGTATGCCCTTCACTCCTACTTGGACACAAGGAGACCTTGGCCCCACTTTTAATCATCTTTCTCCTTAAAGTGGCTGATGCTGGGATTGAGAGAAGGGTAAATTTAAAAATGTATGGAGTGAGAGAGTGGCTTTGTTGCAGCAAGCAATATTTTGCATTTGCTTCCCATTTTGTGCATCATATCATCTGCCTGGACTTAACTAAACAAAGTTATGGTTTTGTCCCAGACAAGGCTCCACCTCCTCATTGCTGATATGACTTATTTCACTTTTAGGAACCCCTGGACCTTTTCTTTTATCCTGCTAAGAGGAAAGCGATTAACACCCAAAGAATAATTTGGGCACCTTGTTTCAATACTCATTAACAGATAGGACAACGGAGGGATCCTATTTCAGTCCTCCTTGTCCATAACTTGGGAAAGAGCATTCCCTACCATTTCCCAGAGTGGTTTTTGTATCTTCTATCACATAGATAGCCTTTATATTTTCAGTTTGAGAAAATCATTTCTCTTTTAGCATGTAAGCTTTGTCACCAAAATTGTCAAGAACTATGAAGTGTCTAAAACTTATGCTATGTGCTAGCTAAAATGTTACCTTGGCACCAAAGACACAGCAATGTTGGGTCAGAGAAAGAAGAAAACTGAAATATTGTTCATTGCAATAGCTCTAGCACTTGAGTTTTAATGGAGCAATAGCGTTAAAGATTTTGGAGTTGCCTGGATTTTGTCTAGGGTCCTAGAAAATTTAAAGAAAGAGAATGACAGGTTCAAGTCAAACAATGAACAATTCAAGGCATACCAGGAAAGCCAGAAAGCCTTTATGGAAATATTTAAAGGGATACCCACAATATCTGCAGTTGTCATCAGATTATGGTGAAAATCAAACCTATGTTTTGATTTTAAGAATCGTAGAACCACAAAAGATGAAATGCCCAGTCCCAGCATGTTTTCAATGTTAAAATAAAAGTCACCATTGCTCCATATCTTTACCAATGCTTAGTACTGTCAGTCTTTACAATATGATTCATTCTAGTGAGAATGTGTTAAAATCTTATCCCAGGCTATTTGCTATATAAATATTCTTGAAAACATAGTCTCTAATCAAAATATATCAATACCTTTGCTCAAAGGATAGGCAGAAATGCAAGATATACATGGAGAATGACTTTCCAACAGTGGGCAACTCATTTTTCCTTTCAATGAGCATTAGGTCCTCATTTATTAAAAGCTATAAAATCCCAATGCTATTTATTTCACAGCGTTGCTCAGAGAAACAAAAATATCTAATAGATAATGAAAAAAATTTTTCTATGCTTAAAATATTATTCAAAGGTTAAGAGTAATGA
This sequence comes from Homo sapiens, assembly GCF_000001405.40. Classification (NCBI taxonomy): domain Eukaryota; kingdom Metazoa; phylum Chordata; class Mammalia; order Primates; family Hominidae; genus Homo; species Homo sapiens. The sequence continues at coordinate 115,431,751 of NC_000004.12, read as the reverse complement.
TAGCAATACATATGTAAATTGTTTTGCATATATGAATTATATTATTATAAACTTTGGCCTTATTTAGTATTTTGGAAAATACCAACTTGTGTTGACAGATAACGGGGAAAAATAAAAACTTCTCATTGCTTTTGAGATCACTCGAACTTAATGACTAGAGAAGACATTGAGACACTTTGGAATAAACTAATTATATAGCAACTAAAGGATGAGCAAATTCTTCAGGTGCCATAATTTCATGAGATCTAACATATATAGCATTGAATTGTTCATCTACTTGTTATAAAAATTAAAATATATAAATATTATATTTGTATGAGAGGTTCATCAGTAATCACATTGTTGGAAAAGTGTCTTTTTTTTGGGGGGGGTGGGGACGAAGTCTCGATCTTGTCCCCCAGGTTGGAGTGCAATGGCGCGATCTCGGCTCACTGCAACCTCCGCCTCCCTGGTTCAAGCAATTCTCCTGCCTCGGCCTCCTGAGTAGGTGGGATTACAGGCACCTGCCACCATGCCTGGCTAATTTTTGTATTTTTAGTAGAGACAGTGTTTCACCATATTGGCCAGGCTGATCTCAAACTCCTGACCTCAGGTGATCTGCCCACCTCGGCCTCCCAAAGTGCTGGGATTACAGGTGTGAGCCACCGCGCCTGGCTGGAAAAGTGTCTTTTATGTATTTGTGTTAGTAAATACACAGATATCTCTCTTTCAAATATTATTCTTTTTAATATTCATTACCTGGCTTCTTTCTGTTTAGAAAGCATGAAAGTTGAAGTGAAAGAAATATAAAATATTTAAATGTAAGATACAAATGATTGTATGATAGAAGCTTCTCTTTTCAGAACAATGTCAACCAACTATAAACTTATTTTTATCACAGTGTGATCAAGTAGTGAGATTTTTCTTTACCAAAATGTTAAATTGACTTGTTGTGATGTCATCTGCCTAGATAATGAAAAATGTTCCCAAGTCATGATCTGCACCACTGTGTTCAAAACGGGCTTAATATGACTGTGCTGTGCCTGTAGGTTATGTAGGTTACAAGCAATGTTTTTCTTATAAGTTTTCATTTATCTTTTAAGGGAAATACAGGATAATCTTTTTTGCCTGTGGAAAGTTAAATGGAATGGCTTCATTTGATTCCAAATATCACAAATAGCAAAAGATTATAGAAACTATTTTCCTTCAGTATTTGTGCTTATATATCAGATTCTTTGAAAAATTTTCATATTTGACTGTACTGCTGCCTTTATGTGGCACTTTCATTTGGAAATACCTGCTACTCATATTTGTATCTTGGGCTATGTAGTAAGTAATAAGCTTTTGGCCATTTGACTTTCCTTTCCATAGGAAAAATAATCTTCCCTGTGCTGTTCACGTTCAGCATGAAATAGCATTACTTAAAAACACTTTCCTGTTCTATATTGGCTTATGGATTGTAGAAAAGAAGATAAGATCATATTTCTTCTCTTTTAAATCTTTCTTATCAGTCTTAAAAACATTTTTTTATAAAGATGAATCATTTAGGAACTATGTTATGGGAGGGCACATTGGTAACACAATTATGGTTTTTGTCTTCTAGAACTATAAGGTGAAACATGATGTGATGGCTGAAGCTTTTCTTCTAAACGTTTTAATGACTAATGCAATAGGTTTCTTCCAAAAGTGTTATTTTTACAATTAAAATAACAAGAAAAAGTCAATAGAGAAAATTGACGAATTCTAGGAGAGAACAGTAATTGAAGGCAGATTACTACCTTATAGGAGAATCTTTTTCAATATAGGTGCTTTCCTGCTAAAACTTACATATTTAAATAAAAAATGAATTAAGGGTAAATTGTAATTATAAAATTATATGCAATCTAAAATAGACAAAAACCATATTCAAGGGTATTTTCATATCACATTTAAGTAAGGTAAATACTATGCCCCTAATTGATTCCTTCTAGTAGCAAAATGCTGGACTTCTGGACAACACTAGGGAATTCAGTACCAGAGAGTTCACTTTTCTTTTTTCTGTTGAGGTATAGAAAACTTGTATAACAAAATTATTTAAGGGTAAGCGAACTACCACCCCCCCAAAATATATATATATATATAAAGAGTTGCCTGTTACTTTATTCAAATGATTTATTACTCAATATTCTAAGCTTCAAAGAACAATTTTTTTAAAAAAAACATCCACTTCCAATGCAAATTATTTTAATGGTATATTATAAAATGTTACGTTAGTTTTATGCAACATATTAGTTTTATAGGTTTCTCTGTTCTTCTGTTTCCTCATCTCTAAAGTAGCTAACCAAATGTAGCTGCTTCATTAATATGTTGTGAAGCTTAAAAGAATAAAATAATATCGAAATCGTTTATACATACAAAACACTTAAAACAATGAAAGACACAAAATAAGTGCTTAGTAAAAGCTTATTATTTACAATGTGATTAGGAAGGAAAAGAATAAATTTTCAATAAATATTGTCTGGCTGTAGTCATAATTATATTTGTTGTAGTGGTGGTAATAGCAGCAGCAGCAGTAGTTGATTCAAAATTATGTTTTCAATGGTAGGCATTTCAAAATAATTATATATAATAATTAATTATAGTCATAAGTGAAATTACAAATATTGAAAGTACTACAATAGTTACAGATGCAACTCTATCAACATCTTCACAGTCACACCCAGAAACAATACTTTGCATCTTTCAATCCAATCAAGTTGACACTTAATACTAACCATCAGAAGTATATTCTAAATTTTCTTTAAGTGGTTTACCTAATAATTCATAATTTGTATACATATGATATGTGTGTATGTACTTTTATAACTATGCATAATTATACTCTACATATACATTTGTAGATTACCCAATACGTATGTGCTGTATTAACATAGAATCCAACAGTAGGTTTTGATTTAAGGAAATGCTGAAGCAAAGCAAATGTTTTGATGGAAGTCTGCATACAAATTGGGTCCAGTTGTAAGTTAAAGTAGGAGTAATAATTTGCTAACAGTGATCATAGTAGAAAGAAATAGTTTATGGCATGTAAAGTTGTGTTTACGATTGTGAAAGGCAGAAATTGATGAATCACATCACTTCAGTCAGAGAAAAAGTCTTCAGAGCCAGAACCCTCTGGAGCAGAGATAAAATTGAAGGCTCTACTGAGTATATTTAGCAATAGAATGAGAGGCTTACCTTGCTCCTGTACACCATTCTTGCTAAAATATATGTTAAACATATTACTAAATAGCTTTGAGCTTTTAATTCTCAGGTCAAATGATAAATCTGAATACTTTGCCCTGTCACGGGTCTCCTCATAAGTGGTAATCATAGCGAAAACAATTTGTCTTCCTTATCAGCTTGTCTCTCTTTGATAAAATACTTTAGTCAGTGGCAAGATTGGGACCTATTTTGACATCTGCACCAGGCTCTTTGTTATTTTTACTTATACTTTAAATTTACTAAGTTCTTCCAAGAGCTTAAACATTCAGAAAGCAAAAACTAGACTGATTTGCCCCCTTTACTTTTTGCTCTGCCTTAGACATACCCTGAGGAAATGAAATATAAGGCTGGCTAACCTCTTAAATATGATCAGAGGAAACTGATGTTTTAGGAAGAAGAAAATACAGTATTAAAATTCCCAAACAGTGTTTATCCTGTCACAGACATACTTCCTCCTTCTTGGGAAGGTACACATTATATTACTTTCTGAACAATCTCATACTCTCACTCATCATCACAAGTTTCCTCATCACAAGTTTAGTGGAGTTGCAGTAGTCAAATTTTTTGCAGAGTAAATTCCAATGTCAATGACTCCATCAAACCTACTTCCATGTAGCATTGTGACGTATTTTTTACATAATAAAACACATATTTAATTCAATACTATATTTAATTCAATACTCTTCTCATCCCTGAGAACATCTAATCACACTTAAGTAGTAGGTCCTATTCATTACTGTGGTTAAGCATGAAGGGCTCAGGATTTTATTTTTACATATTTCTAAAGATGTATCGGTAATGCGTTGGTGGACAGTAGTCTTATTTTCATTGTCTCAGTGAGTTTACTGTGTGTGGTTTGTTTTGCTATTTTGATTTTGAAAATTAGAAGCGCAGCCTGTTCCACTTTCAATGCCATCTTGACATTTGGAATCCTCTTGACTCCAATGGGATTATTTAATTATTGCATATCATGTTCCTTCCAGGAGTAATAAAGGTCACTTACCAAATATCCAATTAAAATTTAAACTTTATGTTAATAATCTGTTACAAAGACATGGCAACATTTTAAAAAGTTACTTTTCTCAAGTCAGGTAGCTCAGCATCCAGATAATTAACAAGCAGGAAATACAATTTCAACTAACGAGAATGTCTTTCCCTTTTGTCTCCCCGGCCTCTTCCCCATGACACCTCACCTAATTGTGCCCCTTTTGTGAGCCAAAAGAGAAAATGAATTAAAATTGAGAAAGAAGAGAAGATAATTTTTTTATTCTCTCGAATACAATTTTAGAATTTGAATGTATGCATGATGCCAGTTCTATTTCCTCCTGTGAAGGTGACTGCTAGAGAAAGAATCAGATCCACTAATGAGTATCTGTAAAGTACCCATCTCATTTAAATGCCTAAATGAAAAAGGGAAAGAATATAACAGCAGTTTTTAGGTAAAATTCTGAGAAATGCATGACTTCTGTAGCTGGTACTTTAGTAAAAGGCATACTCATAATGCTTCTTAGAAGGAAGTTATGGAATAGTGTGTTTCTTGAAGAAAGGCAACAAATACAGTGTGATACTTTACTGACAGAAATAAAGTTTAAAAAGTAGAAATTATCTTCTGTTAATTTTTAAAAAATAAAAGGCATTATTTTGTTTCTTGATTAAGAGTATGATATTTGAACACATTTTAAATAAAAATTGATTCATATTTATTTCTTCATATATAAAGTTACAGAAACAGATCTACTCTCTTCTGTAAAGTTTCTACATACCATTACTATACAGCTGTTGGTTTTTAATCATTTGTGTTTCAGGTAGATTCTTTCAAACACTGTTCAAAGGATGAAAGTTCTTATTCATATTCAAGGCAATTGTAAAGAAGACAAAAGCACTGGAGATTTTTCAGTGAGGCTGTTTACTTCTTTAGGATAAGTCTAGGAGTACAGATGGTCAAACTTGGAAAGCTTTAGCAATACCACAATACTGATATTGCTCTGGAAGGTGGTGCCTATTTAATTTTCAGCAAAACACTGTCCAAAGTTTATCATTATTAAATCATATTTTTTTCAAAAATAATTGCAGTGTATAGATAGGAATTTCAGAGTGTTGTTACCTCCTCTAAGTTTTTAAAAAAGATTTCTCAACTTTCCTCAGTAATCTGCTCTGAAGTATTAAAAAATTCCACAATCTTACCCTTTATTTCACTTTAATCATCTATGCAAAATTAGAACCTATTGCTACACTTAGTAACCTTGCTTTTCTCATTCAGGATAAAAAATAGTATTCATGATCCTTTTTACAAATATAAATTGATTTCGTTTTTCATCTATAATTTAAGGACCTCCATAAATATTATAGTTGACTTACCAAAGACACATACACACACACACACACACACACACACACACACACACACCCCACAAGCCCTAGAACTCTGACAACAAATAAAATAATAAGACCCAACTAATGAATGAGAATGAGAGAGTGTTTATTTGTGCCAAAAATTAGGATACATATAACTACTGCATTTTAATAAAACCTTATTTATTCACTTGCTTTAAATGAATTAAAAGTGAAAATACAGTGAATACTTGGCTTTCACAGTCTAAGAAGTGCAAGCCCGTTTTTGGGAGAATAAATAAAATGCTTAATACCAAACCCTAAGAATCATTTGGTTGTAGTTATTATATAAGTGATATTTAACGATTTTGAATAGAATTCTCAAGATTAGTTTTACAAAATCTATAGAAAGTTTCTGCAAATGAGCATTTTTAATATATACCATTGATAGAAGTGGAGTTCTAATATCAAAATGTAAAATGTGAAGCCACATCTTGAATTTAAAATATCCCTAACTCCTACAAGAAGGGCATGAAATACAAGTCCATGTCAAAAATTGAGACTGAAGCTAAATTGACCACAATGAAATAATAGAATTCAGATTGATGACATTATAGTTTTGGCAAATCAGTTGTAATGAAGCCACACTTTTCTCAATAAGATAAATATTTTGTATCTTCACCTAGAAACTACTCCATTAAGGAAAGAGTAAAATATGGAACAAAATTATAGCTGAGAAGCAAATTGTCATAACTGGTATTTTCTTTCTTTTTTATTGGTATGTCTGTAATTTGGCACAATTCTAGTAATTATTATAGTTTCTATTTTCATAAAAATGTATTTCAAAGAGGCTTACAGTGCTTTCTTAATGATGAGGCAGGATTTTACTCCTTAGTTCAGCTAAAGCTGGGTTCTTGTTTCACAGCCAGGAAAAATTTGGCACATAGACACATTGAAAGGTGAGGAGGACAGAATTTAATAAGTGAAAGGAAAGCTCTCTGCAAAGAGAGGGGTTTTCCAAGCAGGTTTCCTCCTCACAATGGAGTACCAGGACTTCTACACATAAGCTGAAGAGGCCAGGCCCCTCCCTTGCATAAGGTGTGAATTCCTGGTGTCTCCACCCTGTCCTTCCAGTGTGCATGCAGGCCCCTAGTCTGAGCCAGTCCACAATGATTTACTTTCCTTATTGCACATGTGCTAAGGGATGGAATTTTTCACCATGGGCATGTTTAGGCAAGCCCATTGTGCACAATGACCTAGGTGGGTTGGAGGATAAGGATGATGACCAATATTAACGGCTTCCTTCTGAAAGGGGGTGTTGTTTTGGGAAAATAGCACTTAAATCTCCCTCAGAGGCCAATCTAAGGGTTCTCAGTTAAAGGGGTGTTCTCTGAGGCTCTGGTTGCATGATCATTTGGAGTTTGATGGCCTGAAAGTGAGAAGAGACAAACTGGTTATACAAACTGGGTTATTAGAAGATATGTATCAAAATGAAACAAGGGGTAGGGTAAGGACAGCTCAAAAATCCCAAGGCTGCTGCCACAGCCAGATAACTGGCTACAGTTATGCCTACTAAGATTGGGGTGCATGGGCTTTGCTTTGTTTAGCTACTGTGGTCTTATTTTCCCAGAGGAAATATCTGGGTTATGGGCACCCTATTTATTCCTATCACCAGGCAGGATTTGCAGGATAATTGCCCAGAACTAGAATTCTGATCCACATTGTTATATTACTGATTCCTTTTTGTGTCTTCTGAGTTGCAGCCAGAGATAACTGGTTGGTTTATAAGATAAACAGGGTTAGTCTAAAATGTAGACAAAGGACTTAAAAACAACTAATGAGATTAGAATTTAGTGGCAAATGCATGATAACTTTTGAAACATAATTGTTCTCTCTCCAGTCCTCATTTTTGTTATAAACAAATCATGATAGGACCATATTGTTTGCAAAACAAACTTTAGCCTTATACTTGGGTTGATTATTTGCATAAAGTGCAGCAAGATAATTAACTTTACATAGGCCTTTTAAATTGGCTTTGATGGGACTCTCTTCCACAAGGAACCTCAGATAAAGCCTTTTAAAGTTGAGCCAAGCCATGGATTTGTGCCCTCAAATATCTAAGAGTTGGGTAAACTCCTCTCTTCTTGAGGTCCCAAGAACATGGGGTTCCTAGGGCTGTTAGAAAGTGGTATTCTTTACTCACCACAGGTTAGGAACCCCATAAGGGGACTATGTAGACAAGGTATGAGGTCACTTTTCCCAAGGGGCTTTTATTGGCTTTGCAAGTTAAGCTTGATTCCTTAAAGGGAAGCACATTCTTTCAGTCAAAGCCTTGGTAAAACAACCAGTTTCTGCAATTTTGTTCCTTTGCAAAAGAAAATGGATTCTTACTGCCCTGATGCAAATAACTATATTGCCGTAAGTTAAGAATACTCACAACTAGTTTCAAAATTTTGGAGAAGCCAGGCAGAAAGAAAGAAATATACTCCAAATTATGTTCACAAGAGTATACCTTACTCAATTATTAAAGGCTGTAAATAGCTCAAAATAAGTTTCCTTGACTCTGAAAAACAAAACAAGGATCAGCAATGTTTTAAGCAAAAGGAAAAAAAAGATTACTTCCGTTTTCTATTAGTTCAGTCCATTCCGTTAGTTCTTGCTCCGCTTACTATTCATGAACATGTCAGCTCTTCATGGAGTCCTGTACTTTTTTCCTCTATTCCAATGTTACATCCTCCAAAGTTATCAGAAACTTGCATTTGAGAGCACCTGTCAAAGTTCTATAGCTTATCATAAACTATCGTTTGAAGAGGATCAAAACAATTGTCTGTAAATAACATAATGTCCAGCATTTTTACAGTTAAAAACACAAATGACAAAGAAATTTCATTATCTTTGTGGTTTACAATAACTTAATAACCTTAATTAAGATTGATAGCATATACTTAGACTTTAAAATTTTAAAAATCCCATATAATTTTGGAAAATATATTAATGTTATTCACTGCAATATAATGTGAAGAAGATTAAGCATCATTTTGGCAAGCCCCTATACCCAAAAATGTCAAATAATCTTGTTTACCTCTCTTTTGGATGCTCCAGGGGCCCTTTGTAGCATCCAAAAGCTAGGAATCAGAAAAGATAACCTTGAAACTGCAGTTTGATTTTGGGAAGCCTGTTAAATATGTTAGAAGTTTAAGACACTTGAAATAATGAACTACAATTCCAGACTAACATTAGCTATTTATTTAGCCAAAATAATGATTTAAAAAATTTTTAAAACAAAGCAAAAACTTTTACTCATTAAGAGGGAAGACTTAGCTTTCCAATTTGTCTCTGGTCTTCACTTTCTTTTCCTTGGCAGTTTATTTGCAAGGCAAATGAAAATCTTCCATTATCCTTTACTAGTACATGAAAATTTTGTACAAGAAGAGAAAACCAAATTTTACCCTTACATTAGTTTACTATTAACGTCAACCTGAATTTTCTTTTTTCTTTTGAGACAGATTCTCATTTTGTTGCCCAGGCTGGAATGCAGTGGCACAATCTCAGCTCACTGTGTCTCTGCCTCCTGAGTTCAAGTGATTCTCCTGCCTCAGCCTCCAGAGTAATTGGGATTACCGGCACCCGCCACCACACCCAGGTAATTTTTGTGTTTTCACCAGAGACAAGGTTTCACCATGTTGGCCAGGCTGGTCTCTAACTCCTGACCTCAAGTGATCTGTCTGCCTCAGCCTCCCAAAATGCTGGAATTACAGGAGTGAACCACCATGCCCAACCAAACCTCAATTTCCTAAAGAAACCTAAAAGACAATTATACCCATTCTTAACCAGCTTGACTATGAGGTAAGATTCTTATAAGCTTTGTATAACCCTTTAAAAATTTTGCTAAAGAGCAGATTAGTGCCTTAAGAGAACCTTGTAGTGCTTTTATTTTAATGCACAATTTATGGAAAAAACATATAATATCCTTTTGAATTTAGTCAATATATTTACACACAGAATTCCTTTTGCAAAGTTCATTTTTACAAACTTCCACAACTTGTTTAAACCCTTAGTTTATTTTACCTAATTTAAAACCAGCCTTTAACCCTAGGCGAAAATTTACATTTCCATGCCTTCTTAAAATCTTTTACTAAAAACACATTTTACTGTTCTTACTTATCTTGCAGGTAAATCTGTTTTCAGTGGTCTCAATTACATGTTATAATGGTAACACTTAGCAATTTTTAACTTTAATAAAAAATCTGGTAAGTTGTTTTAATTATGAACTAGGTCCCGAAAAAATTTGACTCCTTCCAGCATAGTTAAGGATGTAGTTAATTCCATATCTCCTGAGGCCTTGCCAAGATGTAAAGGAGGCAAGTCAAACAGTTCTCAAAGGCCAAAGAGGCAGTTTACAACTTAAAACATTTAGCAAACCTAGTATCTGACTTGCACAATTTAGACCACCTATTTACCTTTTAACAACATTTGCATTTCACCAATTATCTTTAATACTTTTTATTTCTCAAAGATTAAAGTCATGTGAAATAAAAGTTATTACAGCTTTACCTTTTCTTAAAAATACATTTGATCTAAATACCTATTTTTAAGCCAATTCATTAGAGTTCTTTTTTATATGCAAAACACACAACACATATGTAACTACACAGACAGACAGACGAAGATCCAGTATTTACAAGATTTTTCATTTGCCAATCTCCTAATTGGCTTATTCGCCTCTGGGGAGTGCCGTTTAAGAGAAAGCATAAGAAAGCATGCAGTTTCTAGGGTCTAATAAACAGATACAGCTAGAAGACAAAACAGATTTTGAGGGGAATCTATCCATCTCTAATTCCTGGGGTCCTATGAGAAAAACACAGGTTTCTACTAAAATGGAATTTACAGCACCTTTTCTGTTTTTTCCAAAGAGTCCCAGACCATCAGGAATTTTATTAGGGCCACTCACACATGCATTAAGAGTAGCAAGACAAAGTGGAGAAAAGTAATTTAGTCAACTGAGAAGAAAAAAAAATCTTTTCCACTAAAACAAGATCCAAGAAAAGAAAAACATAAATGCCTTTTAAATATACCTATAGCTTGGATATCCACTTTTAATTAAGCTGAGAGCTCTTTAAGAAAATCCTTTTGGATCCCTTGTTACCTGACCTCAGCCATATCAAGCGGCCAATATTTCTGGCTTTTGTGCTTTACCAAAAGTAACTTCACAGGTAAAACCAACAAGCCTTAATTAAGGTTCTGACTTAATCGTGAGTGTGAAAAGTCTTTCAAAGTAGGGAAAGCAGTTTTTACAACATCTGGAATCTTTAAGGGTAACCCAGAGAAAGGAAGATTTAAGAAAGGAAGGTAGAAGTTGTTCATAGAGGGGAAGAGAATTAACAAATGACAAAACTCACACAACTATTAAAGTACTCATTCCCCAAGTTAGAATTGAACCTGGCTCACTATTGTAAAACTGCAGAGGTTACAGGTCATGTTCCTAAGAATGTAAAACAAGATGGAGGCCTGCTGCAAAGTTTGTTACTGGGCAGTTTGCTGGGCTGACGTGAACAGCTGGTTTATGGGGGTCCTAGGTCTGCATCTTATCTTAAGACATCCTTCTTTCTAACAGAACCATATAGAAAGATATGCAAAGCACACCAGATTGGCTACAGCTTAAAACCAACATCACAAATCCTTTTCCATTAATCAAAACTTTACAGAGAATATAAACAGTGATCCTTACCATTCCTTTTACTGGTTTGCACAGGGAGAGAGAAACCAAAAGTCCGAGTAGTAAAAATCTTTTACCTTTTTGCCAGCATCCCAGGCTTCCGGGTTCCCTTCCCCCAAGCTCAATTCTAAGCCAACCAGTTTAAGATTTAGGAAATTTTAGTTTTCCCAGTTTGGAGTATGCATCCAAGGGAAGTGTCCTGTAGTATGAGGACACAATTACCTATCTGTGAAGAGAGGACAGAGGAGAAAAAAGGAAAAGGAAGGCTATTTGTTTTTTATTTCAAATTTCTAGGGGTTCAGGAGAGATTCGAGAGAATTATAGATGGAAGAAGAAGATGAAAGGTTACCAATCAGGGAAGAGGGGATAAGGCACTCCTAACTCCCTTCTCTTCCCAGTGAATACCCAGACTATGTGAGGGAGAGAGAGGAGGCATCCGTTCTCTTTTTTCCATCCTTATATCCCTGAGTCCTGGTGACCTCAACAGGGTGCCACTGTGGGTGCCAATGCAGCTTTCACTCATGTTAACAGGGGATCTAGGGGCTGGGATTATCTACTCTTACCCACATACCCTCTGCCCCACCCTGCTGTTGTAACCTTTGAGTTCCCTAGACCTCATTTATTCCATGGATGTTAGCATGACCTCCATGCATGAAATGGGATGCTTGCCTTAATCAGCAGGAATTAGTCATGCTTACCTGCACTGTGCCTTCTAACCTCTGTTGTTGTCTGCCTCTGGATCCCTCCAATCCAGTTTTCTTTCCTAGGGCTTCAACCCAAAGCTTGGAATTGAGTTTGGGACAAAATAACTCCCTCAGGAGGTTGCATGGACTCATTATTAAGTGTCAGGTGTCCCTCGCCAGACGGCAGCCACCAGTCAGCAGCGTTGCTCCTTTGCTGCCTCCTCAAACAAGGAAGAGAAATGTATCTTGTGAACTGAGGTCCTGGCCTAGTAAAACACCTTTCAGAAAAATCCTCTGGCATAGACAAGTCCCCTGTACTCACAGGGCTATGTTATTAGGTTGGTGCAAAAGCAATTGCCATCCCTACCATTCTAATGGCAAAAAAACCCCACAACTACCTTCATGCCAACCCATCAACTCCTGACCTGGTAGAGAAAATTAAAAAAAAAAAAATTAAAAAATCAGCTTAAGTGTAGGGCTGTGTTAACTGCTGACAGGGTGGAGAAAAGAAAAAAGAACAGTTTGAGTGCTGGGTGGGGAAGATGCCTGGGGGAAGAACCTCCTATTCTTATGCAAATGGATTTCTCCAACAAGGAGAGAAACTCTTGCTGTCTTCTCCTTCCTGACTCATCCAGAGGGGGAAACATTCCATGGGCATCTGGTAGGAGGGGATGGCCAGCGGGAAATGCTGGCCAGCAGGACATGCAGGGCCCTTGGGGAGGAGGGGCAGGGGACGGGAGCCACCACTTGTCCATCTGTTCCGCACGTGAGCCCGTGGCCATTGGGGTGAGGGGTGGAACACCCCCAATATTGTAAGAGAAAAGATCGATGTCATTACAGTCCTGAAAAAACAAACAAACAAACAAAAACAAAAACAAAAATAAGGAAAATGCCAAAGAAAAGACTGGGTTGGACCAAGGCCAACATTCCCAACCCCTGAGAACAACGGTAGGAGTGGACAGTTTCCCTTGCCCTCAGAAAAAGTCTGAGGACGAGAAAGCTCAGAAACAAAAGTAAAAGAGATTTTTGTGTCTGCATTTTACTCACCCTTCTGATGTGTCCCCATATAGACCACCAAAATGATGCTGGATTTTTGTTCCTTAGTTCAGCTAAATCCAGGTTCTTTTCTCAAGACAGTGAAAAATTAGGAATATGAACACATTGAAGGGTGAGGAGGTTGGAATTTATTAAGTGAAAGGAAAGCTCTGCAAAGAGAGGGGTTCTCCAAGCAGATTTCCCCCTCACAATGGAGTACCAGGACTTCCACACACGAGCTGAAGAGGCCAGGCTCCTTCCATGCATAAGGCATGAATTCCTGGTGGCTTCACCCCATCCATCCAGTGTACATGCAGGCCCTTAGTCTGAGCCACTCCACATTGATTTATTTCCCTTACTGTGCATGTGTTAAGGGGTGGAATTTTTCAATGTGGGCGTGTGTAGGCAAGCCCCTTGTGCACAATGACCTGGGTGGTTTGGAGGTTCTTGGGGGACCCTCCCCTACCTGCCTAGGCACTTGGCTGTCTCCTGCCTCTATCAATGGTATTTAACAAATCTGGATAGTGTCAATTGCAATGATTTAAGTAGTTTTCATTCAGAATCTAAATGCCAGAAAAGTAGTAACATTTCCAAAGTGAGAATACTTGCAATGTCATAAGAAAATACAGAACTAATTCATTTACCCATCTTTTTATAAATTTCTTAGACATGAATTATTAATAACAAATTAGAAAATTATAATTTTTCCTACTCACTAGATATTAATGAGTTCTGACAATACAGCCATATTTCAAAATGCTTTTTAAAAAATATATTGATAATGTTACAATTGTATAAACATATCATTTGTGTTCTCGTATTTTGATACTTCAGCTGCCACTGAAAAGGAAAGGTGGCAGGGAACTGAACATCTAACATTGGCACAGTTTTTGCTTCATAAATAATCATTCTCATGATAAAGAAAAAGAGGCCTAAGGAAATTAATGAAAACTGAGTCAAAATCACATTTAAAGACAATGATAGTGTTCCAAAGCAAGTGTATCCGATCTCAAGACCTGTGCTCTTTTAACAACATTATGAATAAGAATTGATTTTGTTAAATGCTTAGACTAGTAATGTGAAATACTCAATTGGTCCTCAATCCCTCCATCATTTCACTGATATTAGACATTCATTTATATAGCCAGTATGCATGAACATGTCATCATAATTTTTCTAAGTATTAAATATAAATTCATCACAATAAATCTGATTTGAAACAATTCTTTGCCAACTAATTGTATAGATATTTGAAACATTAAAATAGAGAATCAAAGGTCTTGGAGACAGGTAGAATTTTTAAGGAGTCTAGAGAAGGAAACTCTATGTGACACATTTGGTATGCATTTAGATTTTTAAAATGTTTCAAACCAATAGTGAGGGTGGGCATAGAGACACAGGGGTATGGGCCTATAATGTGAGTTCTTCATCTAGATAGAAGCATCAAATATTCTGGAATTGCAGAGCATCAGATGTTAGCTCTGAAGAACCTATTACCAGAAACAATTATAGCACTTCACAGATGTTTGTATACTCCACAGATGTGTGTACCACACTAACACAAATGACTGCAACATGTGAGGAAATGCTTTTTTAAAAAATACTAATTAAGTGTTTTAGTTCTTCTCATTAATGATGCATATCATTTCCCTCTCCATTTTATTTTTTTGGACACTTGAACTCACTTGAAACATAGATAAGAATATTTTAAGGGAAATTATTCATCTACACTCTCCTTCATCTCCCCATTACCTGTTGAAAGAATATACAGAAATTTGGTAGTAAGTTTACATATCGGTTTTCTTTTTATTTTTTCTATTTTTATTAATCATTAAGGTACTCCTATTTTGTCTCACTCAAAATCTGCAGCTACTAATGCATGGTTTTCTTTATTAACTATTATTAAATTCTGTCATGCAATATGTCTAATTAAGTTTCAGTCATTAGAATTAATTTTAGGAAAAGTATTCGTCCCAGACATAGTGTACTAAAATACTTTATAGAGATGTTCTTAATTTACAAATATTTGGAGTACTTGGTTTCACTGCTTGTTGAGATACTTAGCCCTGTTTTGTTGCACTATGATTCTCAATATAATGCAATGTTTAAGGCAAGTTAAAAATTTTTTATGTTGTATAACATAAAAAATTATGCAACATAATAAGACTACAAAAAAGATCATACTCCATTTATTGTTTTATTTTTCTTATCATCTACATGGGGTTCCACCTTAACTATAGGGTGTGAAAAAACTTATCTCCACATCAAAACCATTTTTAGTTCCCTGTTACAAGCAATAAATTCCACCTGCCTGCAGTTGTCAAGTTATTGAGCCATTGTATGCTGGCACAATATCACAATATTACACACACACACACACACACACACACACACTTACACACAGAGATGACACAAAGATGTGATGTAGCACAGACTAGGAGTAGATCACTCTGCCAGGGGACACACACTGCTTCCTCAACATCTCCTGGGTCTTGGGGTAGAACAGACTTGCAGAGAAAGGCAAAGCTCCCACAGGGGTGAGAATTGCAATTTTCCCCACCCCCTGCGTAAACCTGTGGACTGGAGAATTAGGCTTATAATGTGCAAAATTAAAAGAACAGTAGGAAGGAAAAGACATGTTTTAAAAAGATTTTAAACTTGAAATGTAGGCTTATTTGATAACACGTATAGGACTAAAGTTTAATAGTATTAAACAACAAAATGCCTTTGACTCAACATTATTCAAGTTGTAGGAAAGAACAAAGAAGACACTTTCAATTTTGTATGTACTGTATTTTTAAGTAGATTGTGTTCCAATGTAAAACTGACATTTATGACTAGTAGATTTTGCATTTAAGAAACAGAGAAAGAAGGGGATTCAAACTGTGATTTCCAATTTTGCTCTAAAAGTGTGGCACAAAGAAATAACTATTCTTACTTAAACTATAATTTTCCAAGCTGTAGGCATAAACAATTTTAGAAGAAACCAGATGAAATACATGATAATAAACACTGAAACACCTTTTAGAACAAAAAACCCTACCCCACCCTGTGTGTGTGTTGTGTGTGTGAACATTTAAAAGTGCTCAATGAAAAACAGTAATGACCTTTCCTCATTCTGTTTCAATGAATAGAGTAATTTAGCCATCAGTATTATTATTAGAAT
Source organism: Homo sapiens (assembly GCF_000001405.40). NCBI lineage: Eukaryota > Metazoa > Chordata > Mammalia > Primates > Hominidae > Homo > Homo sapiens. The sequence continues at coordinate 115,415,601 of NC_000004.12, read as the reverse complement.
GTAAAAGTAAGCACATAATTTTTTTAAATATTGCCTTTTTTGTCAGAAATTCCTTCTATTCTTTTATTCTTAAGATGAAATCACCTCTAAAATTGCACTTTTGTTTTCCTTCATATTATATGAATGTATATGTGCTTACATTAATGTGTAAGTATAAGGGTATATTTATTACATATTGTATACGCATATATGTAAAATTAAATATAATAATTTTTTTCCTCCTTTAATTTCTCTTCAGAAAATTATCCATATAGATGTTTTATGCCATAGGAAACATTGCCCAGGAAAAAGTCTTAGAATATAAGATTTTTAACACCTTAGAATTTTAAAAAAATGATTGATTTTGAAATGTGCTTTTAATTTTTTATATGTAGTAATAGTACACCATTATTGCATAACGAAATGCCATGAAGTTTTGTGGATGAATTGTATATCCTTTTTGGATTTAGTTACATTATGTAATGCAATTAGTTACATTATTTTTTATTTGAAACATGTATTGTTCCAAAACGTGATGTGAGAGCACACACACTCAAATTGAAAATACAGTAAATCAATTTCACTCTCTCTTAATGGTAATCTAGTATGTTGACTGTGTAAGTGTTAAAAAAAAGTAAATTATACAATTATATCTCAAAGGTTCCTCATGAAAAGGACTTTTAAAAGTCTAGGCCCCAACATACTAGACTAAAAATCAAAATGGAGTCACCCATGCTAAAGTTCCAGGTCACCAAATCGAAATAATCTCAGCTATTACCTGACCTTCCAAAAAATCAGGAGAAATAACAGCCAATTACCCACACAGGCCAGTTTAAATCTTCAGTGGGCATTGTAATGAAGTTCCCTCTGCTTTAATCCCTACGCAAAAGAAGGCTGAAGTAACCTAATATGAGCTATCAGTCATTATTTTATTGTTTTGTCTTCCTATCTCTGCCTTACAAAAAAATGGCTTTGAAAAGACTAATACACTCTTTGTTCTTTGCTTCTGCTTTCTTCAGTCCTTGACTGTATATAAATCCCACTTCTTTTGCTCAGCTCATTTGAACACTTATTCTATTTTATTAAATGAAATGCCCAGTTGTAGAATCCTGAATAAAGCCAATTGAAATGTTGAAACTAAAAAAAAAAAAAAAAGTCTTACTCATTTCAGATATTTTTAAAGTACTGATTAATAAAACAGATATTGAAATAATCTATGAAAGCCATTTTTTCTTTTCATAGTCAAGAGTATATGAATTTCATTCACGTACTTGCTATATATAATTACATCTTCCTTTCTCATTTTCTGTAGATACATTTGGAAAAGACTAGCTCAAAATAAGTAGGAACACTCTCCTCTAGTGGACTAATATGTTTTGGAGTCAAAGAGTTGTCAAAACTACTTTAAGTTGATAAAACACACGTCCTTCGAAGAAATGCGGTGGTGGCTCCATTGAAAGCAAATTGCTTAAATGTAACAACCAGTCATAATGAGGAGGTAGAATAGCATACTACCACCTATGTACCAGAAAGAGTACAGCTTTGTGATTTTCTTACAAATAATCTATGGCAAGCAAGGATCTGTATTGAGTGTTACAGAATAATTGAGAATTCCTTCTATTGTCTTTATGCATTTTAATGGCATGCCAGAGAACCTTTATCTGATGGAAATAATCACTGGCGAATTAGTCAAACAGGCAGGGTAATAGCTGATTATCTAAGCATGTATACTTTGACCATTTTTAACTGTTACGGCACATGAAATGATTGAAATAATGTCAGAAAAAAATTTAAGTTTGAAGAAGTCTAGTTTACCATCTCATGACAGTTCATAAAATCAACTCTTCCAACCTCGAATTCTGAGGAAGCTAAAATGCTACTAAGTTGAAGCACTACTAATGATGATGTTATACCCAGCAGTCACAACTTTAGTTCAAATTTAAGAAAAATTGACAGAGAATCAATTCCCAACATATATAAACTGTGCTGACTCTACAGGTGAGCTCTTGTGATCCTGTTAAACCTACTTAAGATCACACATTTTTCCATGGTGTAACTCCATTTATCATTACTCACTCCAAAATCCTTTTGAAATGACACTAGGGATGCATTCATAAGGCCTTATTAATGTCAAATCATGCCTTCAATTGACAGACAAGATGAAAAGATGAACTCCCTGTCTCAATAGTGAAAAGTAGAACCAAGAGGCCATGGTAGGGTGAGCAAGCAGTCATGCTCCGTGTGTCCTTGGAGAGTATTGCAAAACCTGCTTATCTGCAACCAAATCAAAGAGCAATTCCTGAAAACAATATCAAAAACATCTCTAGCTAGAAATTCCCCAACTGGCCACCAACAGACAAGCTGGTGCCATCCCACCAACCACCTGGAATTAGCCAATTAAGAGAGAATGATGATTTGGGGTTTAAAGGTCATTCAGTCAAGACTCTATACTTCACTCTCTTCACTCCTCTCCTGACCTGAGATTTTTAACATTATAATCTCTAACTCTCCAACACCCCCCAACAGAGTGTACTTTTCTTTTGCTCTGAAGTTGATGAGTTAGTGTGCCCCTAGTCTGCAGACTGCTTTTAGAAAATTAAGTTTTCCTTTTTCCTCTGGAGAAACCAATGGTCTTTTGTTAACTCTATTCATTGCATATGTGCATCCAATTGACAAGTCAAAGCCCACCTATATGATGTATGATGTGGAAAATTATATGGTGTAATGTAAGTGACAGTTTCTGTGGAAATAATTTGTAAAAATATTCTGTGAAATATTTTGCATATGAATTGAATGTCAAGGATTATTATTTTGTCATTTACTTTTTTCTGACTAATGTAATACTCTTTTCAGATTTGAATTAAGACTGGAATTACCACTCCTTTTGTTGTTGTTGTTGCTTTGAGACAAGGTTTCACTCTGTCACCCAGGCTGGAGTGCAGTGGCACAATCATGGCTAATTGCAGCCTCAACCTCCCCAGGCTCAAGTGATCTTCCCATCTTAGCCTCCTGAGTAGATGGGACCACAGGCATGTGCCACCACTCCTGGCTTATTATTTTTTTTTAGAGATGGGGTTTCTCCATGTTGCCCAGGCTGCTCTTGAACTTCTGGGTTCCAGACATCTACCCTCCTCACCCTCCCAAAGTCCTGGGATTACAGCCATGAGCAACAGCACCCAGCCCATCAGTTTTTTGTTTGTTTGTTTGTTTTTACTTACTTTCTATATACTTATTACTTGTTATAGTCTTTCTATACTTTCCAGTGAGAATTGGGTCTCTTGCTTCTTGTATTATCTTCTTATAATTTTATTTTGGTCCTATGTAATGTATCTTTTATTACTTGATTAAAATTTAATTAAGTCAATAATAGTACACCTTTTGTAAAAACACTATTTAGCCCGGGTGCGGTGGCTTATGCCTATAATTCTAGCACTTTAGGAGGCTGAGGCATGTGAATGTCTTGACCCCAGGAGTTTGAGACCAGTCTGGGCAACATGGAAAAACCCTGTCTCCACACACACACACACACACACACACACACACACACACACACACACACAAAATAGCTGGGCATGCATGGTGGCCCATGCTGAGGTAGAAGAATCACCTGAGCCCAGCAGGTCCAGGCTGTAGCAAGCTGTGATTACACCACTGCCCTCCAGCCTGGATGACAGAGTAAGAGCTTGCGTAAAAAACAAACAACATGAAAACATTATTTATTAGGATCAAATTCCCTCTTTTCTCCTTTTAATCATATTTTACACTTTAGCATGTCTTTTTAATTTTTTTTCCCCTTTGGTGTCCATATCAAAGCAATCTCTTGATTCTTTTATATCTCAGAAGACTTCTTATCAGCCTCCTTTACATATTTGTTTGAAAAATATTATTTCTATTTCCCAATTCATTCTAACATTATGAACTCTTTTGTATCTTTCAATAAGTTTCCATGTGTGGACCACTTTTTGTTGTTATTGTTTTAATTGTAGATTCTTCTGTAATTTTCCTAATTGAACAGACTGTTAATATAGAAGAGACACACAATGTCTACAAATTCAATGCAAACATCTCATTTAAACTAGAATCGCATGGATGTCACCACCAGAAAGCACAGAAGAAAAAAATCTCAAATTGGACGTGTTTATGAATAATCACATTTTCTTCTCTCTACACTTAGATTGCTTTTAAAAACAAATAGCGCTTCTTCCCTAATAAGCAATGTCTTTTAGAGGGAATGCCATTTACCTTCTTCACACTGCTTAACATTGGTTATTTCACTTCTATTCAACATAAGTACACAGACTCCAAATCTTTTTCTTATTTCATGTTTTTAGTCTCCATCATTGCCATCATAAATATTATTATTTAAAAAATTGTTTTTAAAAATCAGGATAATGATATTAGTGTCAAATAGCAGATGAGATTTTTAATTTAAAATAAAATAAACTAGAAACTAGAAAGCATGTTAAGGTATTAGGAAATGATTTGCAGATGAAAAATATTAAAATTTAAATTAAGCTAATTGTTACTCCCTTATTACAAATAAAACAAATAAGTACAGAATTTACAGTAATCTTTATCTTATTCTGGCTCAATCTACTTTGTAATTCCTTTTTAAAAAATACAAGTGAGGCCTGTCAAAACTATATTTAATGCAATTTATTTTTTCTGAATGTTTCAAATAGGCAATTATATATATAACTATATTATATAATGAAAAATCCATAAACAAATAGGATATATACATACAACTACCTATTAGCTTTGTTCCTCTATATACTTCAGGTTAAAAATTATGGAAAAGGGCACATAGACACATACATATAATATGACTTATATATATGTATGCTTATATGTATGTATATATATATGCTGTAAGCCATATTACATATGTATGTACATATGTGCTCTTTTCCATAATTTTTAAGGTTAAATATTGTGTCTGTTGTAGACCTAATTCTACCCCTCTTTCTCTCTCTCTCTGTCTCTCTCTCTCTGTCTCTGTCTGTCTCTCTCTCTCTCTCTCTCTTTCTCTCTCTCTCTCTCTCTATATATATATATGTATTTATTTATTTATTTTGAGAAAGGGTCCTGCTGTTGCCTAGGCTGAACTGCAGTGGTACAGTCATGGCTCACTGCGACATCAGCTTTCTGGGCTCAAACGTTCCTCCCACCTCAGCCTCCTGAGTAGCTGGGACCACAGGCATACACCACCATGCCCAGCGAATTTTTTATTTTTTTGTAGAGATAGGTATTGCTGTGTTGCCCAGGCTGGTCTTAAACTTCTGGACTCAAGTAATACTGCTGCCTTGGCTTCCCAAAAAGTGCTGAGATTACAGACACCATGCCCAGCTGGTTTTTAATATATATATTTAAAGTCAGACTAAATGAGCTGGACATTTGGCTCAAATCCTGAATTCATTACAACCAGTTGCTCTGTTACTTGGTCCGTTTGTAATATTTCTTGGAATGGTTTAATGGGTATAAGCCATGGTCTTGACTTCTTTGTCTCATTTTTAGAATTAGGTCTACAACAGACACAATATTTCAGGTTAAAAATTATGGAAAAGGGTACATATACACATACATATGTATGTATAAATTATATATGTATGTATACACATGCCCTTTTCTATAATTTGTAACCTGAAATATATGTATTTGTGTGTATATATACATACATATTTGCTAAATAATTAGTTATAGGAGCAATAAAAATTCCATAAACAAATAGGATATACACATGTATCATCTATTAGTTTTGTTCCTCTGGAGAACCCTAACAGTACTAAAAACATAGATTTTATTAGAAAACGTATGTGTTAATCTCTGTACCATAAATTATAATAATGAAAATATGCACACTAAAATATTTTTTAAAGGACTGCACTAGTGAAAATATATATGGAGAAAACTACCTAAGATTAAGTAACATCTGAGCTGTTGTAATAGATATTCTGGCATTACTTTTTATATATATTCATGTACTTAAAATAGTTCTGTGATGAACTTATAGCACTTGTATAATTAGAAAAATATCATTTTGCCAGGCACAGTGACTCACGTCTGTAATCCCAGCACTTTCGGAGATTGAGGCAGGAGGATTACTTGAGCCCAGGAGTTTGAGACTAGTCCTGGCACCATAGCAAGATCCGTATCTACAAAACATTAATAAATTAGCCTGCCATGGTGGTGTACACCTGTAGTCTCAGCAACTTAAGAGGCTGAGGTGGGAAGATCGCTTAAGCCAAGGAGGTCAAGGCTGCAGTGAGCTATGATCACATGACTGAACTCCAGCCTGGAGTTCAGATGGAGGGAGACGCTGTCTCAAAACAAAATAAATAAAAGATGAAAAACACTTCATTTTGAAACTAAGTACAAATATTCATAACTGCTAAGAAATTACTTACAAAAAAAAGAAACCTATATACAAAAAAAAAAAAAAAGAAAGAAAGCTATTTAGAAAGCTACTTACAAAAAAAGGTATATCTTTTAGGTTCTATTTATATGAATTAACTTTAAGATGAGTTAACCTGAGATAAAATTAGTGAACTACTTCATATCCTTCTATCTAAATCAATTAAAATTTTAAATAAAATAAAAGGAGGGAGGAATATTTAACATCAAAACTAAGAGAAATCTGTAATGAAATATACCTGACATGTACTTGAAATCTATACCAAAAAATAAGAGTGGCTGCTGAGAGTTGAAAAACCACTCTCTGCATCCTGCATCAGAAAGAGTTTTCTCTGGAAGGAGTTGTCACAATAATAAAGCCTCTTTTCAATAACACTTTGACTAATTTAAGAATAAGGCCATAGATGGGAGCAAGACAATCAGAGAATGCTCCTAAAAGGTCCTCAGAATATATTTCTTCTATAAAAAGATAAAAAAGAATATATAAAACCTAACAGCTTGCTGTGAAAAAAAGCAGTAAACAAGATAGAGGTCACGGAACATAAAAACACAATTGTTTAGGGAAAAATCAATATGTGTGTGAGAAAATAAAGCCTAGGAAATCTACCAACATCTGTCTAATAGTGGTTTCTGAAAGAAAAAAAAGAATGAGAGTGGAATGAAGGAAATAATCAAAATAATAACAATAACTTTTCACAGAGCTAAAGAAAGACTTTAGACTACCAAATGTTAGACAGACTAAATGATCCTCATATACATAGATTCATTCTTCTGAAATTTTGAAATTCAAGGAATAAAGATAATTTCATAAATTCTTCTAGAGTAGGAAAACAGATACAAGATGACAGACTGTGTAGAAATAAACAACATAGCATATGCAGTCAGAGCTCCAACTCTTCACCCAAAGTCCAACTGCCAGCACCTGAGTTTCTTTGTCTAAGATTCTCAGCTCATCAGAACCCATGCCAGGGAATCCAATGCCCCGCTCAATGCATGATAAAAACTGGAGAGTAAATACCCCTAATTCCTCACTCCTCAGGGGGAATTACATTGAGGCACAACAGTTACACTGATTCTCAAGGATCCTCTGCGGGATGAGGTTTCAGATACCCACTGTGATAATTCACTTGATAACAAACCTTGTATTGGTTGCCTTCCCTTTTCTGTGAGATTTCCTGTCTACACTGCAAATATTTTTAGGTTCATCTCCAAAATCAACTATCTGAAATCAAAATCTTGCTTAAAAGGCTCCTTTGGGAAAACCCAAACTAAGGGAGAAAAACGCTGGGGGAAGAGGTGATTGTTAGTGAATTTAGAAAAAACAATGTCTGTACAGTTCTCAGGAAAAATTATTTTCCACATAAAATGCCATGTATTATCAATTAGTATAAGGATAAAATGAAAAGAATTGATAACATGCAAGCATCCAGTATGTTTCTGGAGTGCTGCAATATGACTTGAAAAAAAAAAAAAGAGTCAAGAAAGTGTAAGACATTAGAATTAAAGAGTAGCCAAATATGCAACTTAATAAGATTCCCGGACAACAGCCATATAATGCTCCTAAAAAGAAGGAAGCATATTAGTTAGTTGTTTGATTAAATGAACATGTTAGTGGTTTATTAAGTAAAATTTCTTGTTTAATAACAAAATAATAGAAAATCAGTAGAAAATTCAAGTGTAAGAGGGACTGGGGGAAGAAGATGAACAAGAAACTGAAAATTCAAAAACAAGATAAAACATTCTAGTCAGTTGAAGAAGAAGACATATTCCATCTGATCTTGAAATTTGAACAAAGTAGCATAAGCTCAATAACATACACATATTTCTTTCTCTATGATTCAATCATAGTATTTCATTTATACAAAATAATGTATATATAATATGGAATGATATCTGAAACTGGGAAAACTTAATCAAGTCTACTGAACATAACATGTCAGATGAACCAAAAACAGAAAATGACAAATATGAGCAAGAATTTGAGGAATGGCAGGGAAGGAAATTTTACTTTCAATAATATGCCCATCTATATGGTTTAAAATTTTATTCCCATGTACATGTATCACTTTTATAATAAAAAAGAAGCTATTCATTTCAAACCCTAAAGATTAATGGTAATTATAGCAATAGAGATGAAGATAATATAAACACTTCCACCACATCTTAAGATTGAGCAGCAATTGTGGTTTTTGCAATATGATTAAACAATCTTGTTAAACTTAATCTAATACTATAATCCATGGCATTCCCACAACTCCAAAGATAATTCATATTTTGTTTTATATTTTGAAAAATGGCTTTGAAACAGTATCAGGATAGAAACATAAGCCTTTTCTATTTGGAAATTTGACGGCACAGTATATTAGATAAGTTCAATTTATCTGAGAGATGTATATTAGTTACCTATTTTTTAAATTGCAAGATGCGATTTTTATCACTTATTCCATTCAGAAGCACATGTGATTTTAGCACAACTAGCTTTTCTCATTAAGAAGGCTTCACTGACCTAAACCGACAGTCTATTTTATCTATTCCCCATATTTCTCTCCTATTATCCAAACTTTATTATTTTTTATATATATTTTTACATTGCATGTATCACTATCTGAAGTTCTGTTATTGGTTTTATTTAAGTGTTATCTACTGCCTGCCACTAAAATGTAAATGCAACAAGAGGCAATAATTATTATATCTTGTTTCCTTCGTATTTCCAGATTCTCAGAGCAGCACTCAACATGTACAAGATACACTATAGAACACAACAAACAGCTGTTGAATAGATGAGTCATGCAGAAAAAGAAACATTCTTAAGATACTATTAATTGATTTTTATTTAATATTCTTATCTTCATTTCTATTTTAAACATTGATAAAAGAGACAATTTAAGAAAATATAGGCTGGGCACGGTGGCTCACGCCTGTAATTCCAGCACTTTGGGAGGCCCAGGCGGACGGATCACAAGGTCAGGAGATCGAGACCATCCTGGCTAACACGGTGAAACCCCGTCTCTACTAAAAAATACAAAAAATTAGCTGGGCGTGGTGGCGGGAACCTGTAGTCCCAGCTACTCGGGAGGCTGTGGCAGGAGAATGGCATGAACCCGGGAGACACAGCTTGCAGTGAGCCGAGATCGCACCACTGCACTCCATCCTGGGTGACAGAGTGAAACTCCATCTCAAAAAAAAAAAAAAAAGAAAATATAAGAAAATGTCTTACTTAATATCTAATGAGATGTGGGTTATTAACATTATTTAAATAATAATTTTAAGTGAAGCAAATATTTTTTGTACAAATATACATTTTCTTTTTAATTTATTAATTTTACTTTCTTTCTAAGTTTTTAAACTTATTTAAAAAAATACCCCAAAAACTTGACAACAAGGCAAACATCTGAGTTGCACATCTTGACAACATCATGTGGGCTAAAGACACACTTCATTTTCTTTATAGGATATTAATTAGAGATGTATCTGACCCCATAATCTTGTAATGACATTTCTTTATCAACTTGCCTTTAATTACACAGGTTCTCAACTGCTATTTGCATTGATCTAAATGTTTTGCTGAATCTCTCCTTTATTAATCTCTCCTATTTAATTAAATTAAAATATTTGATGTATTTTTAATTTATATTAGCATTAGTTATGATTTTAGCTTTTCTTGAAAAATTATACTTTTATAAGTGTAGTTAGATACACATTAAATAATATGTATAATATTTATGCTGGTTTTGAAAAAAGGATTAACACTTAATAGAGTTACACACTTTAAGAATAAGAACATTACCAATAGCATTAAAATGTCACCAAATGCTTCTAAATCATGTCCGCTCTCCATCCCAGAAGCATACACATAATACACTAAATTTTGATTGATGTCTCCTCTTCAATATCTATCTTTCAGTTTTTGGATCTCATAAAGTTTATTCAAATGAACTCCAAAAAACTGAACATGTGATAATTTAGAGTATTGAATTGAATATATTTTTGAAAAATACACACACATTTATCATAAGTAAGGCCTTGCTTGCACTCTTGCCTTTAGCTTTCTCCACTCCTTTAAAAAATGCAAAATACTAAAGCAGTCTAGATTTGGAACAGAATTCAATGCTTTAAAAGAGGCTTTCTAGTCACATAGTCAAAAATGAGTTAATGGAGAGAAGATAAAATATGACATTCTTGTTCGAAGAACATATATGACCTTAGACTACACTTAGTAATATATCATCAACAGTGATCCTCCTGCCGTGGCTTCCCACAGTGCTAGGATTACAGATGTAAGACACCAAGTCTGGCCAAACACTATAATAACTTCTAACAAACTTTAAGAGACCAGTTTTTCCAGAAAAGAAAAAAAGAAGAAAGAGTTGTTTCCATCATTCTGTGATGCTTATGTATTCTAGATTCCCCAAATCAGATATCAAAATAAAAGAACATAAGAATATAAACTCTTTTTATTCTAAAATATCTGTTGCAAATACTTAATTTTTACTAAATAGCCATTCTTATCTTCCTCAATAGTACACACATAATGAACAAAAGAGTCCATGAGAATATTAAATATCTGTTTCATATAGATATGACCATATGATTATATTCTGGCTAAAAAGATAGAAGTGGTTTGCACAGCTCATAGGAAATGTTCTTACAAATGGAAAGTTGGAGGCCTTCTCACACTTTCTGCTTAATGGCTTAATGGTCATAACTCTAGTAGGCATGCTGGACCATGAGTAGTGGTTTGGAATGAAGGCCATTTATGAGGAAGAAATAATGTAAGAGGGAATTGGGAATTTGACTTCATGGAGAATAGACCATACCAACTTGGAGCCTACCAGTTCTAGAATTTCAAAACATGAGAAACAGAATAAAAACAAGTATTTTATTTATCCACCATTATTTAGGTTCATCTGTTAAGTGTAGCCAAACCTAATCTAAGCTAATATAAAACCCTTTTTTAAAAAATTACTTAGTACTAGAATACAATTAAGGTTAAAGTTTGAGTATACTGTAGAGTTTATCCCAACTATAAATGAAAAACATAAAATTAGAATATCTACCAATATATGGGCCGATATTAATATGGTAAACCAGTATATCAGGTTGCTTGGGCCCAAGGAGTTTCCTAAGATGCTGGATTTACAGTGTTAAAATGGGGACAGTCTTGTGCAAATAGGGATGATTAGTTTTATCCATTTAGTCTATAAAATGGACTAAAGGAAAAAATACATGATCAATTTAATATACTTAGAAACAGTGTCAAACAGTATAAATCAATTATTTTTCATTAAAAGCAAAACTAAATGTTCAGTTCTTCTTCTTTGTGTGGCAGAGAAGTTTATTTCAGAACTACATGGTCACTGAAAATACCTAGATGGAAAAAATAATAGAAAACATAAAACCTTGCTGAAGGTCTTAGAGAATTATCAAGGTATCGATAACTTTCAAGAAAGGAAGAATGAAATCCCAGAAAAGTGAGCCTAATGGGGCCTATTTGCCTGCTGGAGGCATTAACAAAGAGTCCAGAAAATGACCCACACTTTTATAGTCACTTGATTTATATCACCTGGCCAAGATAGCTCTCCAGAGAAATGGAAAGGAAGACCTGGATCAATTAGGTAGTCTTATGAGAACAAAACAGAAAAACTGGACCCCTGTCTTCCAACATACACAAAAATCAATCCTTACCAGATTCAGATATAAATGTAAGGTATAAGGAAAAAGCTTCTGAAAGATAACACTGCAGACTTTGAATTAAACAGATTCCTTAATCATAACACAAAAACACAAATTATAAAGAAAAAATACTGTGTTCTACTAAAGAATACCATTAATAGAGTAAAAATGTAAACTATGACATGGAGGAAACATTTTCAATATATGAAACTGAACTATATATAATTTATATATTAGTTTCAATATTTTATGTATTATATATCTACATCACCCCAAATATATATTCTCCCCATAAAACAATACAAAAATGAAAGTGATACAGTAAAAATTAAAAAGTCAATTTGTATATTCTAATGGGCAATAAACATTTGAAAAAATGCTCAAAATCATTTATCATCAGATAAATTAAAATTAAAGCCAAAATAAGATACCATTATCCAAAACCATAATTTCTAAAGTTAAAATGTGATTACACCAAGCATTAACAAAGACATTGACCAAAAGGAGGCAGTTTGGTAAAATCACTTTGAGGAATTCCTTGTATTTTATGGCATATGCTAGGATACAACAATTATCCTTTGCAGGTGTATCTCCAACAAACACTTATTAATATGTGTGTCTAAGGATGAAGACAAGCATATTCATGGCAGCCCTTTTTTCAAATAGCCCCAAATTGAAAATACTAGCTACATTATAATATAAAATTTTAGCTTATTTCTATTGTGGAATATGACTTTTTAATGAAGACCATCTATATTCAGCATGAATAAATCTCACAAATGTAATTTTGAATGTAAAAAGCTAGATTAAAAATTCATTTTGCATAATTTTATTTGCATAAAGTTTAAAACAAATTAATATATACTGAGCACAGTTAGGTAATGACTGTGTAGGAAATCAAGGAAGACCTCTAATGTCCTTCAGAGGGCAATGTATCATTTCGTTCACCTCAATGGTGGTTATACATTTGTGTTCATTTTGTAATTATTCTCTACCTTTAGGACCGTACACTTTTCTATCCATTAAAGTTCTTTCAATTAATTTTAAAGGTAAATATAAATAAAAGTTTCTGAGTTACTAAAAACAACTGCAAATTAATTAAATCAATTTGTGTTGAAGCAAACAGACCAGTGAAACAGAATAACAATATAAGAAAGACCTTTATTACTATCAGAGCTTCCTATATAATAAAGATAGCAGTATAAATAAAAGACAAATTTTTGGTATTGGATATACCAAATATATATTATACATATATTTGTGGAAAAAGATATTTTTAGTCTAAGCATCAAAAGGCATGAAATAAATTAATTTGTCAACAAAATTATGGATTTCTCTTCATTGAAGAATCATTTAGTCAAAGAAATAAACAAACATGGCAAAAGCATAGTCAAAGTAAAATAAGTTAGAGATTCTTCTCTAGAATATGTAAGAAACACCTGTTAATTAACCAGAAAAAAAATAGTAAATTTGTAAAATAGGCAAAAGATGTGAATTATCAATTTTCATAGGGAGAAATCTGAAGTTCCACCTAATAGATAAAACAGGTTTCATAGGTCATTAATAATTAGGAAAATACAAATTAAAGCATATTACCACTGTACACCAATTGAAATGGCAAAATATCTGGAGATGTGAAATGCTACTGAAACATTAGCCTGGTAGAACCACCCTAAATATAAATTTAAAATTTCTGACTGACAAATTAAAAATTCACAGGTCTTATGTGAAGCAGCCTGTTTATGTGCATGGGTTAACAACTCATTCCCTGCCCTCCACAAGTTACATGAAGTGCATCTGCTACTAACAGATAGGCAGCAAGGAACAACAGAAACCTAGGATTCATGGCCAGTGATCCTCCAAGGCTCAGAAAATCTGTCTGGGGCAGATACAGATACAGTCTCAATTGCACATGCCCCATTTGCACCGCAGCTGAGAGAACCCAGAAAGCAGCTATCTCTGAGTTATGTACCCCAAGGGTAACCGGGCAACTCAACGTCAAAATGCACTTTAAACTTTTTTTTTCCTTTCCCTTCGGTTTCAAGAGATAACCTTGAAGCAAACTAAAGAAGTCTTTTTTCTCTGCTTTCAAATAGACTCCATGTCCCGCCTTTTCTCACCACATATATACTCTATTCACATTTATCTAACTGTATGCTATTTTCTAATTATGTGCCTTCTTAGAAGTTCCAGGGGCTAATATTGAGACACAAAAATCAAGCCTGGAGACCCAGTGGCAGAATTTCAGAGTTTACTTCAAGGCAGTAGTTAACAACTCTGACATTTTTGAGATGACAGCAGTCCGAGATCCAGGTGGACTGTTACCCATGATAGCCACAGTGCAAGACACACAGACAATGTACTCAGAACAATTCCTGCATGCATTCCTTATCAAGTTTCCTCTTTTTAAATCTCTGCTTTCTTCCCCAAAATTGAAGTGGTTGCTTTGGATGGGAATCAGACATTTCCCCATTACTAGTTTTGGGTAATAAAGTCACTTTCTTTCTCCCAGAACTTGCTCGTAACTGGACTCTGTAAGTGTAGAGCATCCGGACCTGCGTTCAGTTACACAGTGTTGGGAATTGCTGGGCTAATGCAATGAAAGACATCAGTTTCTGGGGAGTGGGGTTGGAGACCTAGAGGACTAGAGCAGAGCCTTAACTCTTCCAGCTAGTTTCCGCTTAATGGAGGATATTACATTCCCAGCACATTCCACAGTTATTCTTGAGAATTATAAGTGAGAAAGGAGGAAAACTAGTTCAGTTCAAGGCCACCTGGAGAAATCTCCTGCACTTTACAACACAGCAAATTCATCATGAACTTACATCCCAGACAAATTCATGCAAATTACTTACATTTGTAAGTAGTAGAAAGATTGCTCTATTTTTGGTAATATAGATTAGGGGGCAACCTAGCTGACTACTTTTTAAAGAATGATTATGTAAACTATTTTAGATTTTATACCACTGATGTTATGCAACATTTAAAAGAAACAGGCTACATGGACATATTAAAAAACTGTTAAGTGAAAACATTATGAGGGAAGTAAAATTTGAAGCATATCTTATTTATATAACTTTAAAACCTATAAACATGAAGCAAAAATATATAGCTTAACAATTTATGTACAGATTTAAAGGCATATCAAACAAAATATAAGAAGTATAATTATAGGTTAGGAGTAGAAACTTAGAAACAAAGGAAAAATATATTTATTTTTTAAAAAATTTTAGCACATAATATAGAATGGCATAAAATTAGGATTATTTCAAATATCTGCACCTGGGTTCCTATACATGAAAATAGATGTGAGTAGGTGTTTTTGTGAGGATTCTGAGACATTATCTTACATAAAAAGAAAAAAAATTGAATACATAAATTAACAGTCTATTTGGTAACAGGTAATGTCACACACATTCTTCTACAAGTAGAATAATAGTTGGCCTAATTAAGACATTTGTAAATTTCATTAAGCTGATAATATAATTAAATTACTTAAATATATTTAAAAAATACGTATTTTAAGTGCTGTTTTTGGGTAATTTATATAATCAAACTTTATGATAAAATTATAAACATAAGATTATAACATTAGTATTTATGTATTCATTTTAATATTAGTATTTTGTGTGCTTATTATTTTCTTTTTTTTTTTTTGAGACAGACTCTTGCTCTGTCACCCAGGCTAGAGTCAGTGGCACGATCTGCACCTGGCTATGCTTATTAGGCATGTAATTAGGCAGCACTAAGATAAAACTAAATATAATTTTAAAAATGAAGTAAAAAGAAATAAAATTAATGTTTTCTGATTTTAAAAAAAGATAGCACTAATTCTTGTCTATTAAACCCCTTAAGCATATTATTATGACTTACTTTTTTTTTTTTTTTTTTTTTTTTTTGGAGATGGAGTCTTGCTCTGTCACCCAGACTGGAGTACAGTGGCATGATCTTGGCTCACTGCAACCTCCGCCTCCCATGGTCAAGTGATTCTCCTGCCTCAGCCTCCCGAGTACCTGGGACTATAGGCGCGTGCCACCACATGTGGCTCATTTTTGTATTTTTAGTAGAGATGGAGTTTCACCATGCTGACCAGGCTGGTCTTGAACTCTTGACCTCGTGATCCCCCTGCCTCAGCCTCCCAAAGTGCTGGGATTACAGGTGTGAGCCACCACTCCTGGCCTTGATTTTCTATTTTTATTTTTTCATGTTTCTTTACAATTTTAATCTATATGTCTCATCGAAATATTTAAAACCATGAAATAAAATACATCTGTCATAATGTTAACAGTAACTTCCCAATATATTCAAATTAAAAAACATTTATTTTAGACAGAAATACATGTTTATGTTTAGAAAAAGGGAACTTGCCTTTTTGAGATCAATAAATACCCATTTGAAGTAAAATTTGGCAATATATAAATTAATAGTGTGTTATTATGATACACAAAATTACCAAATTATAATTTCTTTCATTAAAAATTATTTATAAAATTGCTTATACTCAAAATGGTAACATGTAACATTTCTTGACTTTGTATTTTTCTGTATTGCTAATTTAGTTGAAATTGTTTGAACTTAATATAAAAAGAGAGGTTTGCAAAAAAAATCACACACTTTTCTTTCACTAGATAATCATTTTTACTCAATATCTGCAAATACATACTGTGTGATTCTACTTTGCTTATCTTGGAAAGAAGCATCTACATTAGTAACATTTAATAAAGCCCTGAAAATCTCCTGTGATTGAATTAATATTCACTTAAATCTGCCAAAATCTTCAAGTTTTGGTATCTCCTAGACAACAAAAGTTTATCATAAACTATTGTTGCTACTAATTGTTTGAGAAATCTGCGGATTATTATTAACTCTGGCCATGTTTTTCAAAAGTTGTGCAAGTTTCTCTGGGACAGTATTTAAATCAATCAAAACAAAATCAATCAAAAGAGCAAAAATAAATTAAACTATAGCTTTCATAGTCATATGTCTTTATTGAAAATAAATATTTTAATGTTTGCTAATAAAATGCAGGGGTAATTAAAATTGGTAAGGTATTGACATCAATACCTTGTGATCTATTCTGATGCCATTTTTCAGAGTATTTTATACTTCTACTATTCTTCAAATTCTTTATTCCAAAAATGTTTTTATTTTTTAAGTAAAAGTTAATAAACTTTTGGGGATTTCTATTTGGTTGACTCTCAGGTATCTTAATTAGATTATTTTAGATAATCCAGACTTTTCAATTAAGATATCTGACAAAAGAGTCAACACATGAATATCCATTTTATTTTACTTTTAAATTAAACCACTTACAGTGAGTTTACCTTTAAAAGAGACTGAGTAGGACTTCTCATTTCAGCTCCAACATAAAAGGAACTGAGAAGTCTTCACTCCCATTTTTATGCCAACAAAAAATTACACAAACAAAATTAGTGACTTTTCTTGGAACCATTAGAAAATTTGAGTCACAGAACAACCCATCACTCCAACAACTGGAGAGATAGGTGCAGCCAGAGAGATGTACCAACTAAGATCTGTTTACTTGCAGCAGAAGTGGCTGGAGCAATAAACTGACAGCAGCATTAAATTGTTATTTTCATTAATTGGTAGAGGGTGAGTTATAAATCCCTGGAGGACACCACATTTTCATGGGCTTTTGCACCAGGAAACCACCCCTACCCTGCCTTGGGTTTTTATGGTGAGGACACTAGAAAGATTCCCTCAAGGCTCTAGCAGTAACTATGTGATATACTGCCAAATTATTCTCAGTAACAGAGTCCTACTCTCTAAGGAAAATAACTTTGTCAGAGTGCCATTCAAAACTTTATTTCATATGAGGAAAGGGAATGCCTTTGCACTCAAGCGGTCCCCAGCCTTACTGTTTTTCCAGAAGGTTTTTAAAAATATGGATTGAGAACACTACAGTCAGGGAAAAGAGTAGGGTTTGGTGGTGGGGCAGGGGTGGAGGGAGGAAGAAAGCTACAATTGGGAGAAGTAAAAGAAAACAAACTAGTGAAGCTCACAAACCTGATACACAAATCATCAAAAAGACGGATAACAAATATTAGAACACTGTCCCTACCCCACACCATATTACCAAAGTTACTGAGTTCCATTAAACTAACAGTGGATTACAGCAGAAGAGATGAGACAGTCACTGAAGGAGGGTGTTTTGGGAAGCTTAAAGTCGAGAGGACACAAAGGGAAGTTGCAGCTTTTGGACCCTATACTTAAAACAAACATCAAACATAGCCCAATTTGTATCCAGAATAACATTGATTTGCACAATAAAGATCTATGTACCTTATTTTCTACTAATCAATACAAAACAAAAAATCACACGGCATATCAAAATGCAAAAATATGCACGTCTAATGAAATGAAGCAATCATTAGAATCAAATTTGTGATGACACAGATGTAATTATTTGGCAAGGTATTTAGGGCACTTAAAATAACTATGTGTCCTAAGTTAATGGCCCAAATATAAAAGCACATAACATGCAAGGTTCAATGGGTAATGCAGGCAAAGAGAATGAAACTCATAAATAATCAAAAGGAAGTAATATAAATAAAGAATGGGGGTGGCCAAGATGGCTGACTAGAAGCAGCTAGTATGTGGCTGGTATGTTCTTCTCATGGAGAAGAACAGAAGGGGTGAGTAAATACAGTACCTTCAACTGAAACATCAAGGTACATGCATTGGGACTAATCAAGTAAATAACTCAACTCATGGAGAATGAAGAAAAGCAAGGTAGGACAATAGCCTACCTTGGAGTGACACAGAGCCGGGGGAACCTAAACCACCCAAAGGAGTGGTGAGCAAGCAAGTTACCCTGGGAACCCATGCTTCTCCCATGAATCTTTGCAACCTTCAGGTAGGGAGATTTCCTCATGAGCCCACTTCCTCAGGGCTTTTATTCTGACACACAGTTACATGGAGTCTCAGTAGAGCAGCCACTCAGGCACACATGGGGGGCCTTAGATACCTAGGCTTTCCGGGCTTCCCAGCAAAAGCAGCTGCAACTTTAGCAAAGCAGGAGGTTAGACCCCTAGGTATACCCCATAGGAAAGGGGCTGAATCCAGGGAACTTAGCAGTGACAGTCTGCAGGTCCCACTTCCATGGCACCACACAGGACAAGACCCATTGACTTGGAATTCCAGCCAGCCATCAGCAGCAGCATTACATCTCTCTGAGGTGGAACTTACTGGGCAGGTCCTCCAGGCCTGGGCCTCCATTCACCCCTGCTAAGGTTATTGAGCAACTAGCAGCTCTGCAACTCCCTAGACAGAGCCCCCAGGGGCAACTGAAAGCCTCTCTGCCACTTCCTCTGCAGTGGAACTGCCCTTGCTACCCACAGACTAACAAAAAACTAAAGACTCTAAGTGCCTTATCCACACCTTTAACAAGCTGCAGTCAACCCAAAGAGAAAAGACCAGTCCAACTCCTATGGGTTCCATCCACCCACACCACTCATTACCAGAAAGGGAACCCCTGGCTTGGGCCAAGAGCACAGACCCTCCTTCCTGGACTGATTGCACTGAGAGATTACTGACCTGCATCTTACTGGGGTGGAACACCCAGGAGAGAAGCAAAAGACCCTTGGCCACAATCACTGCTAAGGTTCCTGCCTCTGTTGCCTCCAAGTTGGGAAAGAAACATAAACACTGAGATTGTCCCAGAGCTGCAATGGGCAGTTCAGGAGTGCCAAGCCACATTCTATAGCTAGAACTCAATGGGGAGAGGAGCCCACATGTTCAGATCATTGAGAGGAAACACAGCTGGAACTGTGAGGAAAATTAGGGGAGCCACACAACGCAGCAAGTCTACCAACTGACCAATATGCTTAAGTGCCACCTACTGAATCACACCCCCAAAGCTTCAACACCAAAAATACCTCACTCATATAACCTCTGTGAAACCAAAGACAAGATGTCAGCTCCAAATAAAGACCCTGCACAAAGGCTTGGGTACTGTGAAAACATCCAGTGAAGAAGTTTACGAGTGTTACTCAATCTACACTGCAGTTAAAAAATACTCAAACACAGAGATGGAAAGAACCAACTCAAGAACTTTAGTAACAGAAATAACCAGAGTTTTGTATGTTCTCCAAATGATCACAACAGTTCTCGAACAAAAGTTCTTAACCAGGCTGAGCTATCTGAAATGACAGAGATAGAATTGAAAATATGATTGAGAATAGAGATAATTGAGATTCAGGAGAATGGCAAAACCCAATCCAAAAAACTGAGAATCACAATAAAATGACACAGGAGCCAAAAGACAAAATATCTGGTATCAAAAATTACCTAACAGTTCTGACAGAGCTGAGAGACATAATACAATAATTTCACAATACGATCACAAGTATTAATTGCAGAATAGACCAAGCTGAGAAAAGAATCCCAGAACTTGAAATCTGTCTGAAATAAGACAGTAAGACAAAAATAAAGCAAAAAGAAAAAAATAAATAAACAACATCTCCAAGAAATATGGGATTATGTAAAGAGGCCAAATCTATGAATCACTGGCATCCCTGAGTAGGAGGGGAGAAGGCAGATAACTTGGAAAACATATTTCAGATATCATCCATAAAAAATTCCCAAACTTTGTGAGAAAGGCCAACAGTCAAATCCAGGAAATACAGAGAAACCCTGAAAGATACTACACAAGTAGATTATCCCCAAGACACATAATCTTCAGATTCTCTAAGGTTGAAGTAAAAGAAAAAATGTTAAAGGCAGCCAGAGAGAAAGGGCAGGTCACCTACAAAGGAAATCCCTTCAGGCTAACAGCAGACCTCTCAGCTGAAACATGCAAACCAGAAAACATTGGGGGGCTATATCAACATTCTTAAAGAAAAAAAAATCAACAAAGAATTTTATATTCAGCCAAACTAAACTTCCTAAGTAAAGGAGAAATAAGATCCTTATAAGAAAAGGAAATATTGAGGGAGTTCATTACCATCAGACTTTCCTTACAACAGCTCCTAAAGAAAGCATTAAATACAGAAAAGAAAGACTGCTACCAGCTAATGAAAAAACACACTTAAATACACAGATCAGTGACACTATAAAGCAAGCACACAAACAAGCCAGCATAATAACCAGCTAACAACATAGTTACAGGACTAAATCCACACATATCAGTACTAACCTTGAATGTAAATAGGCTAAATGCCCCACTTAAAAGCCACAGAGTGGCAAGCTGGATGAGAAATAAAGACCTAATAGTATGCAGTCTTCTAGAGACCCATGTGACACATAATGATGCACATAGGCTCAAAATAAAGGGATGGAGGAAAATCTACCAAGACAATGGAAAAAATAAAAAAGCAGGAATTGCAATCCTAACTTCAGACAAAACAGACTTTAAACCAACAAAGATCAAAAAAGAAAAAGAGGAGCATAAAATAATGATAATGGGTTCAATTCAAAAATAACTATCAGAATTCTATGTGCACTCAACATAGGAGCACCCAGATTCATAAAGCAAATCCTTAGAGACCTACAAAGAGACATGGGTTCCTACACAATGATAGTGGTAGACTTCAACACTACACTGACAACATTAGATAGATTGTCAAGGCTGAAAATTAACAAAGGTATTCAGGATCTGAACTCAATATTGGACCAAACGGATCTGTTGGCACTCTGCAGAAATCTCAACCCAAACCCAACAAAATATACATTCTCTTCATTACCACATGACACATACTCCATACTCTAACACTGACCACATAATTGCACAAAAAACAAACCTCAACAAATGGAAAATAACTGAAATCATATCAAACACATTCTTGGACCACAGTGTGATAAAAATAGAAGTCAATACTAAAAAAATTGCTAAAAACTGGGCAATTCCATGGAAATTAAAAAAACATACTTCTGAATGACTTTTGGGTAGATCATAAAATTGAGGCAGAAATCAAGAAGTTCTTTGAAATTAATGACAACAAAGATAGAACATACCAGAATCTGGGAAACAAGTAAGGCAGTCATAAGAGGGAAATTCATAGCATTTAATGCCTGCATCGAAAAGTTAGAAAGATCTCAAATTAACAAGCTAATGTCACAACCGAGAGAATTAGAGAAGCAATATCAACCCCAAAGCTAACAGAAGACAAGAAATAACCAAAATCAGAGCTGAACCGAAGGCAATTGAGACACAAAAATCTATTCAAAAGATCAAGAAGTCCAGAAGTTTTTTTTTTTTTTTTTTAATTATAGTTTAAGTTCTGGGATTCATGTGCTGAATGTGCAGATTTGTTACGTAGGTATACATGTGCCACGGTGGTTTGCTGCACCCAACAACCCATCATCTAAATTAGATATTTCTCCTAATGCTATCCCTCCCCAGCCCCCCAGCCCCTGACAGGCCCTGGTGTGAGATGTTCTCCTGCCTGTGTCCATGTGTTCTCACTGTTCAGTTCTCATTTATGAGTAAGAACATGCAGTGTTTGGTTTTCTGTTCCTGTGTTAGTTTACCGAGGATGATGGTTTCCAGCTTCATCCATGTTCCTGCAAAGGATATCAACTCATTTTTTTTATGGCTGCATAGTATTCCATGTTATATATGTGCCACATTTTCTTTATCCAGTGTACCACTGATGGGCATTTGGTTTGGTTCCAAGTCTTTGCTATTGTGAATAGTGGTGCAGTAAACATATGTGTGCATGTGTCTTTATAGTAGAATGATTTGGAATCCTTTGGGTATATACCCAGTAATGGGATTGCTGGGAAAATTGGTATTTCTGGTTCTAGATCCTTGAAGAATTGCCACATTCTTCCACAATGGTTGAACTAATTTACACTCTCACCAACAGTGTAAAAGTGTTCCTATTTCTGCACATCCTCTTGTTTCCTGACTTTTTAATGATCACACCTTTCTAACTGGCGTGATATGGTATCTTATTGTGCTTTTGATTTGCATTTCTCTAATGACCAATGATGATGAGCTTTTTTTCATATGTTTATTGGCCACATAAATGTCTTCTTTTGAGAAGTGTCTGTTACCATCCTTCGCCCTCTTTTTGATGGGGTTGCTTGTTTTTTTCTTGTAAATTTGTTTATGTTCCTTGTAGATTCTGCACATTAGCCCTTTGTCAGATGGATAGATTGCAAAATAACCCCCCATTCTGTATGTTGCCTGTTCAGTCTGATGATAGTTTCTTTTGCTTTGCAGAAGCTCTTTAATTTAATTAGATTACATTTGTCAATTTTGGCTTTTCTTGCAATTGCTTTTGGTGTTTTTTTCATAAAGTCTTTGCCCATGCCTACGTCCTGAATGGTATTGCCTAGGTTCTCTTCTAGGGTTTTTATGGTTCTAGGTCTTACATTTAATTCTTTAATCTATCTTGAATTAATTTTTGTATAAGGGGTAAGGAATGGCTCCAGTTCCACTTTTCTGCATATGGCTAGCCAGTTTTTCCCAACATCATTTATTAAATAAGGAATCCTTTCCCCATTGCTTTCTTTTGTCAGTTTTGTCAAAGATCTGATGGTTGTAGAAGTGTGGCGTTATGTCTGAGGCCTCTGTTCTGTTTCATTGGTCTATATATCTGTTTTGGTACCAGTACCATGCTGTTTTGGTTACTGTAGCTTTGTAGTATTGTTTGAAGTCAGGTAGCATAATGCCTCCAGATTTGTTCTTTTTGCATAGGATTGTCTTGGATATACAAACTCTTTCTTGGTTTCATATGAAATTTAAAGTAGATTTTTCTATCCATGAATAAAGTCAATGAGCATGGAACGATTTTCCGTTTGTTTGTGTCCTCTCTTATTTCTTTGAGCAGTGGTTTGAGGTTCTCCTTGAAGAGTTCCTTCACATCTCTTGTAAGTTGTATTCCTAGGTGTTTTATTCTCTTTGTAGCAATTGTGAATGGGAGTTCACTCATGATTTGGCTCTCTGTTTGTCTATTATTGTTGTATAGGAGTGCATGTCATTCTTTGCACATTGATTTTGTATCCTGAGACTTTGCTGAAGTTGCTTATCAGCTTAAGGAGTTTTTAGGCTGAGATGATGGGGTTTTCTAAATATACAATCATGTCATCTGCAAACAAAGACAATTTGACTTCCTCTCTTCCTATTTGAATACGCTTTATTTCTTTCTCTTGCCTGATTGCCCTGGCCAGAACTTTCAATACTATGTTGAATAGGAATGATGAGGGAGGGCATCCTTGTCTTGTGCTGGTTTTCAAAGGGAATGCATCTAGCTTTTGCCCATTCAGTATGATATTGGCTGTGAGTTTGTCATAAATACCTCTTTCTATTTTGAGATACATACCATCAATACATAGTTTATTGAGAGTTTTTAGCCTGAATGGGTGTTGAATTTTATTGAAGGCCTTTACTGCATCTATTGAGATAATCACATGGTTTTGGTCATTGGTTCTGTTTATGTGGTGGATTATGTGTATTGATTTGCATATGTTGAACCAGCCATGCATCCCAGGGATCAAGCCCACTTGATCATGGTTAATAAGCTTTTAGATGTGCTGCTGGATTTGGTTTGTCAGTATTTTATTGAGGATTTTCACATGGATATTCATCAGAGATATTGGCCTCAAATTTTTTTTTATTGTGTCTCTGCCAGGTTTTGGTATCAAGATGATGCTGGCCTCATAAAGTGAGTTAGGGAAAAGTCCATCTTTTTCTATTGTTTGAAATAGTTTCAGAAGGAATGGTACCAGCTCCTCTTTGTACCTCTGGTAGAATTCGACTGTGAATCTGTCTGGCCCTGGGCTTTTTTGGTTCGTAGGCTATCAATTACTGCATCCATTTCAGAACTTGTTATTGGTCTATTCAGGGATTTGACTTCTTCCTGGTTTAGTCTTGGGAGGGTGTAAGTGTCCAGGAATTTATCCAATTCTTCTAGATTTTCCAGGTTATTTTCATATAGGTGTTTATAGTATTATCTGATGCTAATTTGTATTTCTGTGGGAACAGTGGTGATATCCCCTTTATTATTTTTTATTGTGTCCATTTGATTTTTCTCTCTTTTCTTCTTTATTAGTTTGGCTAGCAGTCTATCTGTTTTGTTAAATTTTTTTTCAAAAAACAAGCTCCTGGATTCATTGATTTTTTGAAGGGTTTTTTGTGTCTCTATCTCCTTCAGTTCTGCTTTGATCTTTCTTATTTCTTGTCTTTTGCTAGCTTTCAAATTTGTTTGCTCTTGCTTCTCTAGTTCTTTTAATTATGATGCTAGGGTATCAATTATAGATCTTTGCCACTTTCTCATGTTGGCATTTAGTGCTATAAATTTCTCTCTGAACACCACTTAAGCTGTCTCCCAGAGATTCTGGTACATTGTGTCTTTGTTTTCATTGGTTTCAAATAACTTATTTATTTCTGTCTTAATTTCGTTATTTAACCAGTAGTCATTCAGGAGCAGATTGTGCAGTTTCAATGTAGTTGTGCAGTTTTGAGTGAGTTTCTTAATCCTGAGTTCTAATTTGAAATTTGATTGCACTGTGGTCTGAGAGACTGTTTGTTTTGATTTTTGTTCTTTTGCATCTGCTGAGGAGTATTTTACTTCCAATTATGTGGTCAATTTTAGAATAAGTGCTATGTGGTGCTGAGAAGAATGTATATTTTGTTGACTTGGGGTGGAGACTTCTGCAGATGTCTATTAGGTCTGCTTGGTCCAGAGCTGAATTCAAGTCCTGAATATCGTTGTTCATTTTCTGTCTTGTTGATCTGTCTAATATTGATGGTAGAGTGTTAAAGTCTCCCACTATTATTGTGTGGGAGTCTAAGTCTTTTTTTAAGTCTCTAAGAACTTGCTTTATGAATCTGGGTGCTCCTATATTGGGTGCATATATATTTAAGATAGTTAGCTCTTCTTGTTGGATTGATCCATTTACCATTATGTAATGCCCTTCTTTGTCTTTTTTTTTATCTTTGTTGGTTTAAAGCCTGTTTTATTGGAGGCTAGGATTGCAACCCTTGCTTTTTTTGCTTTCCATTTGTTTGGTAAATATTCCTCCATCCCTTTATTTTGAGCCTACATGTGTCTTTATAGGTGAAATGGGTCTCCTGAATACAGCACACTGATGGGTCTTGACTCTTTATCCAATTTGCCAGTCTGTGTCTTTTAATTGGGGCATTTAGCCCATTTACAGTTAAGATTAATATTGTTATGTGTGAATTTGACCCTGTCATTATGATGTTAGCTGGTTATTTTGCATATCAGTTGATGTAATTTCTTCATAGTGTTGATGTTCTTTACATTTGGATATGTTTTTGCACTGGCTCGTACCTGTTTTTCCTTTCCATATTTAGTGCTTCCTTCATGAGCTCTTGTAAGGTAGGCACAGTGGTAACAAAATTCCTCAGCATTTGCTTTTATGTAAAGGATTTTATTTCTCCTTCACTTATGAAGCTTAGTTTGGCTGGATGTGAAATTCTGGGTTGAAAATTCTTTTCTTTAAGAATGTTGCATATTGTCCCCCACTGTCTTCTGGCTTGTAGAGTTTTTACAGAGAGATCCACAGTTACTCTGATGGGATTCCCTTTGTAGGTATCCTGACCTTTTTCTCTGGCTACCCTTAACATTTTTTCCTTCATTTCAGCCTTGGTGAATCTGATGATTATGTGTCTTGGGATTGCTCTTCTTGAGGAGTATCTTTGTGGTCTCTGTATTTCCTGAATTTTAATATTGGCCTGTTTTGCTAGGTTGGGGAAGTTCTCCTGGATAATATCCTGAAGTGTGTTTTCCACCTTTGTTCCACTCTCCCTGTCGTTTTCAGGTATACCAATCAAATGTAGGTTTGGTCTTTTCACATAGTCCCGCATTTCTTGTAGGCTTTGTTTGTTCATTTTCATTGTTTTCTCTAATCTTCTCTTCATATTTTATTTCATTAAGTTGATCTTCAATCTCTGATACCCTTTCTTCTGCTTGATCAATTTGACTATTGATACTTGTGGGTGCTTCATGAAGTTCTTGTGCTATGTTTTTCAGCTCCATCAGGTCATTTATGTTCTTTTCTAAACTGGTTATTCTAGTTAGCAGTTCCTGTAACATTTTATCAAGGTTCTTAGCTTCCTTGCATTGGGTTAGAACATGCTTTTTTAGCTCAGAGGAGCTTGTTATTAACTACCTTCTGAAGCCTACTTCTGTCAATTCATCAAACTCATTCTCCATCAAGTTTGGTTTCTTTGCTGCAAGGAGTTGTGATCCTTTGGAGGAGAAGAGGCATTCTGATTTTTGGAATTTTCAGCATTTTTGTACTGGGTTTTTCTCTTCTTCATGGATTTATTTACCTTTGATCTTTGATGGTGGTGACCTCCAAATGAGGTTTTTGTGTAGGCATCCTTTTGGTTGATGTTGATGTTATTGCCTTCTCTTTATTAACTTTCCTTCTCACAGTCAGGCCTCTCTTCTGCTGGTCTCCTGGAGTTTGCTGGAGGTCAACTCCAGACCTTGTTTTCCTGGGTATCACCAGTGGGGGCTGCAGGACAGCAAAGATTGCTCCCTGCCCCTCCCTTTGGAAGCTTCATCCCAGAGGGGCAGCTGCCAGATGCCAGCCAGAGCTCTTTTGTAAGAGGTGTCTGTCAACCCCTGCTGGGAGATATCTTCCAGTCAGGAGGCATGGGGGTCAGGGACCCACTTGCAGAGACAGTCAGTCTCCTAGCAGAGCTCAAGCACTGTGTGGGAGATTTGCTGTTCTCTTCAGAGCCAGCAGGCAGGACTATTTAAGTCTGCCAAAGGTGCAACCACAGCCACCCCTGCCCCCAGGTGCTCTGTCCCAGGGAGTTAGGAGTTTTGTCTATAAGCCCCTGACTGGGGCTGCTGCCTTTCTTTCAGAGATGCCTGGTCCAGACAGAAGGGATCTAGAGAGGCAGTCTGGCTACTAAGGCTTTGCCAAGCTGTGGTGGGCTCCACACAGTTCAAACTTTGAGGCAGCTTTGTTTACACTGTGAAGGGAAAACCACCTACTCAAGCCTCAGTAATAGTGGATGCCCCTACCCCCACCAAGCTCGAATGTCCCAGGTCAACTTCAGACTGCTGTGTTGGCAGCAAGAATTTCAAGGCAGTGGATCTTACTTTGCTGGGCTCTGTGGGCATGGGATCTGCTGAAAATGACCACTTGAATCCCTGGCTTCAGCCCTCTTTCCAGGGGAGTGAACAGTTCTGTTTCTCTGGCATTCCACGCATCACGGAGGTATGAAAAGTAACTCCTGCAGCTAGGTAGGTGTCTGTCCAAATGGCCACCCAGTTTTGTGCTTGAAACCCAGGGCCCTGGTGGTATAGGCACACGAGGGAATCTCCTGGTATGCAGCTTTCAAAAACCATGGGAAAAGCATAGTATTCAGGCTGGATAGCACCATCCCTCATAGTACAGTCCCTCATGGCTTCCCTTCGCTGGGGGAGAGAGTTCCCTGACCACTTGTGCTTCCCAGGTGAGGTGATGCCCCACCCTACTTCTGCTCACCCTCCATGGGCTGCACCCACTGTCTAACCAGTCCCAATGAGAGGAACTGGGTACCTCAGTTGGAAATGCAGAAATCACCCACCTTATGCGTTGGTCTTGCTAGGAGGTGCAGACCGAAGCTGTTCCTATTTAGCCATCTTGCCAGCCCTCTCCAGAAGTTGTTTTTATTAAGAAATTCATAAGACAGATAAGCAGCTAGCTAAACTAATAAGGAATAAGAGACAATCCAAAAAACAAAATTAGAAATGATGAAGGAGATGTTACCACTCATCCCACAGAAATAAAAATAATCATCAGAAACTATTATGAATACCTCTGTGCACACAAATTAGAAAACCTAGAAGATATGGAATAAATTCCTGGACACATGCATCCTTCCAAGACTCAACTAGGAAGAAATTCATTCTCTGAATAGACCAATAATAACCCCCAAAATTGGATCAGTAATAAATAGCTTAGCAACCAGAAAAAGTCCAGGACCAGATGAATTCACAGCTTAATTCTACCAGATGTAAAAAGAAGCACTGGTACCATTCCTACTGAAACTTTTCCAAAAATATGAGAAGGAGGGACTCCTTCTCAACCCATTTTATGAGGCCAGCATCATTCTGATAACACAACCTGGCAGAGACACAACAAAAAGAGAAAACATCAGACCAATTTTACTGATTAACATTGATGCAAAAATCCTCAACAAAATACATGCAAAAAATCCAGCAGCACATAAAAATCTAATCTACCACCATCAAGTAGGCTTCATCCCTGGGATGTGAGGTTGGTTCAATATACACAAATCAATAAAGGTAATTCATTGCACAAACAGAACTAAAGACAAAAAACACATTATTATCTCAATAGATGCAGAAAAGCTTTTGATAAAATTTAACATTCCCTCATATTAAAAACTCTTAATATACTAGGTATTGAAGAAACATACCTCAAAATAATTAGAGCAGTCTACATCAAACCCACAGCCAACATCATACTGAATGGCAAAACCTGGAGGCAATCCCTCTGAAAGCCAGTGCAAGACAAGGATGCCCTTTCTTATCAGTTCTATTCAACATAGTATTGGAAGTCTTGGCCAGGGCAATAAGCAACAAAAATAAAGGACATCCAAATAGAAAGAGAGGAAGTCAAACTATCTGTTTCCTGGTGACATGATTCTATATCAACAAAACCCCATCGTCTCAGCCCAAAAGCTCCTCCAGCTGATAAACAATGTCAGCAAAGTTTCAGAATACAAAATTAATGTACAAAAATTATAGAATTCCTATACACCAAAAATAGCCAAGCCAAGAGCCAAATCAGGAAGGCATTTTCTTTCACAATTGCCATAAAAACAATAAAATACCTAGGATTAAATCTAACTAGGGAGGTGAAAGACCTCTACAAGTAGAACTACAAAATGCTGCTAGAAGAAATCAGAAAAGACACAAACAAATGAAAAAACATCCCATGCTCATGGATAGAAAGAAACAATATTATTAAAATGGTCATACTGACCAAAGCAATGTACAGATTCAATACTATTTCTATCAAACTACCAATAACATTTCTCACAGAACTATAAAATACTATTTTAAATTTCATGTGGAATCAAA
Source organism: Homo sapiens (assembly GCF_000001405.40). Classification (NCBI taxonomy): domain Eukaryota; kingdom Metazoa; phylum Chordata; class Mammalia; order Primates; family Hominidae; genus Homo; species Homo sapiens. Next base: position 115,385,491 of record NC_000004.12, on the reverse strand, counting down.
AAACAGCCCAAATAGCCAAGGCAATCATAAGCAAAAAAACAAAACAAAACAAAAAACAACAACAACAACACAACAAAGCTGGAGGCATCAGGTTTTCTGACTTCAACGTATACTACAGGAATATAGTAACCAAAATAGCATGGCACTAGTACAAAAATAGACCCATAGAATAATGAAACAAAATGGAAAGCCCAGAAATAAGGCTGCACACTTATGATCATCTGATCTTCAGCAAAGCTGACAAAAACAAGCAATGGGGAAAGACTCCTGTTTAACAAATAATGCAAGGATATCTGGCTAGCCACATGCAGAAGATTAAAATTGGATCCCTTCCTTATACCATATACAAAAAATTAACTCAAGATGGACTAAAGACTTAAATCTAAAACCCAAAACTATAAAAACTCTGGAAGACAACCTAGGCAATACCATCCTGGACATAGAAACAGGCAAAGATTTAATGACAAAGACATCAAAAGCAATAGCAACAAAAGCAAAAGTTGACAAATGGGATCTAATTAAACTTAAGATCTTCTGCAAGTTAAAAGAAACTTTCAACAGAGTAAACAGACAACTTACAGAATGAGAGAAAACACTTGCAAAATATGCATCCAACAAAGGTCTAATATTCAGTATCTATAAGGAAATTTAACAAATTAAGAAGAAAAAACAACTGCATCAAAATGTGGGCAAATGAAATAAACAGACTTTTTTCAAAAGAGGACATACACGTGTCCAAAAATCATACAAAAAAGCTCAATATCACTGATCATTAGGTAAATGCAAATCAAAACCACAATGAGATACCATCTCATAACAGAATGGCCATTATTAAAGAGTCAAAAAATTACAGAGGCTGGTTAGGTTGCAGAAAAAAGGAAACAGATACATTGCTGATGGGAGTGTAAATTAGTTCAACCACAGTGGAAAGCAGTATGACGATTCTTCATAGTGCTAAATACGGAACTACTATTTGACCCAGCAATCCTATTACTGGTATATACCGAAAGGAATATAATTCATTCTGTCATAAAGACACATGCATATGAATGTTCACTGCAGCACTATTCACAATAGCAAAGACATGGAATCAACCTAAATGCTCATAAAAGTTAGACTGGATAAATAAATTATGGTATATATACACCATGGAGTACTATGCAGACATAGAAAAGAATGAGATCAGATCTTTTGTGGGAACATGAATGGAGCTGGAGGTTATAATCCTTTGCAAACTAACACAGGAACGGAAAACTAAATACCTCATGTTCTCACTGATAAGTGGAACCTAAATGATGAGAACTCATGAACACAAAGTGGAGAACAAGAGACACCCAGGTCTACCTGATGGTGAAGGGTAGGAGGAGCAGAAAAAACAACTATTGGTTACCAGACTCACAAAGAAAAAAGATAGAAGACACCAATTGCCAATATCAGAAAGGAAAAAGTAGTTATTGCAACTTATTTCATGCATACTAAAAGGATGCTACCAAAAAATGCAGTATCTACAGACTTGTAACTTAAATGAAACAAATCGATTCCTTGAAAGATGCAAACTACCAAACTCATACAAAATAAAATAATTTTAAGACATATATATATTAGAGAAATGGATCGAATAATTCAAAAACCTTCAAAAAGAAAGCACCAAGTGCAGATGAAACCGTGCTTTCAAACAATTAAAGGAATAAATCAAAGGATTCTTTGAAAGGATGTCCTTTCAAACACTTAAAGGAATAAATAATACAAATTCTCCACAGTCTCTTGAAGTAGAAAATAGAAACACAGGGAATGCTACCTATATTATTCTATGAAGCCAGCACCACTCTAATACAAAAATTCAAAGAGGGACTACAAGAAATGAAAACTACAGACAATAAATATCATGAGTATAGACACAAAGATCCTCAAAAGTGTTAGTAAATTGCTTCCAATGATGTTATAAAGAATTACACACCAAGACCAATAGGATATTTTCCAGGTATGTAAGACTGCTTTATCACTTAAATGTTAATCATTTAAATTAACAGTGTCAACTGGCTAAAGAAGTAAAATTATATGAGCATATTATTGAGGAATGTCTTTTGATCCAATTCAGTACTTATTTACTACGTAGACACTCAACAAACAATGAATAGAGAAAATTTCTTGAAACAATAAATAACATTTACAAAACATAAATAACATTTACAAAAAACCTACAGGTAACATCATCATTATAGGTAAGATAGTAATTTTATTTATTTTATTCTAAGATCAGGAATAAGGCAAGGGACAAAGATCTTCATTCCTATTTGACATCGTACTAGATGTCCTGGCCAGTACATTGAGACAGACTGACAGAAAGGAAGAACAGATGGAAAGAAGAAAGGAAGAAAGGGAGGGAGGGAGAGATGAAGAGAGAGAAGGGAACAGAAAGAAAAACTATATAGATTGGAAAAGAAAAAATAAAATTTCCCTCATGAAGTTTCTAATAGCATTAAATGAGCTTATAAAGGAGTCCCCAACCCTGGGCCACAGACTGACACCATACAGAGGCCATTATTCTTAGCAAACTAATTTAAATATAAATATGCATGTAAAAATCTATGTATCATAAAATCATATGTGCATATATGACTTTGTGTGAATAAATTATGTTACTGAAATATTTCTAAGCTTGCAAATACTTTCGTTTTTCTTGAGCTAATTTAACATTATTTGAACTTTTTTACTAAGATTATGTTTGCCAGTTTCATGTTCCATGTTCTATGATTGTAATTTATTTCAAAGTTAATTTCATACATCAATACAGTCTCGTAATTTGTTACCTTAATAGATAACCCATTCTCAACATAAAATACTTATTTGACCTTTCTAAGATTTTGCCTTGGCTTCTACTTTGTCTAATATTTATATTTACACACCTGTTACCTATTTGTTAATACTTGCCTGGTGTATATTTTCTGGTTCTATATTTTTATCATTTCTGGTCACTTTGTTTACTTGATATTCCTTATATATAGCGTACGTTGTATATCGATGTGATTTGTTTAGTTGTTTTTGTTTTATTTTAAACTTTTTAAGTCTTAGAATATAATAGGGAATATAATCATTTCACACATAATATTTCTAAAAATGTTTTTAACATCTTATTTTTCTTTTTCATATTATCCTTTAACTTCTTACCATGTTTATCTTGGAATTGTTCAAGATGTCTACCTTTTCTCTCCCTCTTAAAATTTGTTTATATATATTTCTATTCTTTGATTATTTAAAACATATTTAAGCTTTATATTTTCTATAAATATTTTGAATTAATAACAAAAAACTGTAGCATCCTTTCACTCCATTTCTTCCAGTTCACCACCACCTTCATTGTCATAAATAGTAAGACCTTATTGTTTTTAATATTTGGTATATGATGGAACTGGTATTCTTAACTATCTTTTTTTATAATGTTTGCTTTCTACTGCATTTATAAAACACATTTTCATTTTTTGTTTCAAATTTATATTCGTTTAAACATTTTAAGTTGATTTGGCTTAAAAACAAGAATTCTAAACCCATTGTGAACTAGCACTCAAGAATAACAGAAAGTAAATGTAAATATATAATTACTTCAATATGTCTGAATGAACAATAATTCTTTGTAGATTTTCTTCAGTAATGTTTATTAAATTTGTATTTTATCTTTTCTGTTCTGCAGAGATTTATTTGTTTTACTTTTTCAATATTATTTTTGTTATTGCTGCAGAAATTTTGAGTTCAGAACCAAGTATTAATGGTATTGACTTTCCCCAAATATTTATGTCAGAAATAATCCAATGTGAAAACAAAAGCCATATGACTTATTATCATTTTAATTTGTCTTGCTTTTGTGATATAACATATAGTAAGTGCATAAAGTGCATTAATTGCATAAAATGTACCAATTATAAACATAGAGCTTTATAGATTTGATATATGCAGGCACCTGTACAACAACATCTCAGACGGATACATAGAGTATATTTTCAGAAACCCAGAAGTTTCTCACATCCTCCTTGCTTGACATTCCCTGCAGAGGAAAACATCATTTTGACTTTTGTCAGCATAAATCCATGTTGTTTGTGAACTTATATACAGATTCAATCATTAAATATATATTATTTTGTGTCTGGTTTCTTTTACTCCATAACATTTCTGTAAGATTTATCCATGTAGCAGTTGTTCTTTTTTTTTTTTTTTTGGTTGCTGAGCAGTGTTCTGCTGTACATATTTACTACAATTTTTAATCCATTCTCCTAAGGTAGAGTTGGAGGAAGAGCTCCATGTTGGTGGGACCCAGATTACTGAGAAAATTCTGCCTAGGTGGCTTGGTATTTATGAAAGAATATTATTATGCTGAAAGAATGAAGGAAATTTTGGGGTGACAAAGACTACAAAACAGGAAGCTTAAAAGAAATTGCAGGTCATGTGTCTCTCTAGCACCACGATGTCTTTCCAGAACCTCACACTGGAAAATCCCATGGGAAAGCTGGCTGAGAAAGGAACAATGCCATTTGCAGGGTCCCAGTCCCCAAAATCACAAAGCGCAGTATTAATGGCTACATTTAAGGTTCAGACAGAAAAGTTTAATAACCAGAACTGATGGCAGCGGCCTGCTTCTTGTCATTGTGAGGGAGAGTTAAGAAGTAGGTTCAATAAGCTTGCTTCACTGACACTCACAGACCTCAGAAGCTACTTGAATGTCTACCCTAATGTCTTGTTTGTCATACAGCCTCTTCAGAGACTAGAGTGCCATACTTCTACCTCCACTTGTTCTTCCTGTATGGATGGGGGTGAAGAAAACTACATCAAACTGTGCTCTTCAATTTTTTTGAGCTACCAAAGTTATATTACAACACTTCCTAGTTAGTTTGAAAATCTGGTTTGGTTTTTACCCTGGTGGCAAATGTCCTTGCTGCGTTCTTCTCAGGATTGATAGAGGAGAAAGAAAGGTTTGGCTGACATACTGTTTACATTGCAGAACTTCCTCTTGCTCTTTTTGTTTGAAGACTCCTGGATTTAAACCTTTCAGCGTGTCATTTCAAAGAAAATCTTTTGGGTTTCGTACTGGGCTTTAAGCCACACCAGTTTCCATTCTTTATGTCTTATATATTGGCATGCTCAGTCTCCCTGTAACTATTCTTGTCTTTTCAAAACTTTTATGAAACACATATGCATGTGCACACATGAACACAAACATATTATATATATAATTATATAATTCAGTTTATGCATATAAATGGTATTTGTTATATAATGTTACATGGAATTATATATATAACATATTAACATAGGACTTAAAATGTGATTTTACAGATGTATAAAACATATATTTAATAAATGGGGTTTTAGGAAGGAAGGTAGACAGTTGATTTAGATTATCTTGATTCATTTTCACATTTCCTCAAATTGAAACCACAAATTCTCTTGCAGCTACAAAGTTTTTCCAAAATAGAAAATATACCAATGGAATTTACAATAAAAAGACTAGGGATAAGATAAAACAAAGCTTTTTAAATTATGAAATATTGTAGATTATATTGGATAAATTGAGTATTTGATAGAAGTGAAAGCATAAAATAGTGGATTTTTAAATTAAACCTGTTTTCAGGTATATTTTTATTGTCTTGGGCTTCTAATGCTTCAGACTCATTTTTATGCAGTAAGTTTTCAAAGCTACATGTCATAAAAGAGACTGCTTTCTGTTATACATGGCTTTAGAGGATAGAAAAAGCAACTAAAGAGAGATCAGTGATTTTCTTCACTGAAGGAAAGCCTTGATAATTTAGGCATAGTAGCACTAAAGCAATGGTTCCCAAATTTCATACATCAGAATAACATGGAGGGCTTATTAAAGCACACATTATTGGGCTCCTATCCTTATGTTTCCCATTTTATTCTGAGTTCCAGGTGGGGCTGAGAAAATTTGCCTTTCTAAAATGTTCCCTAATGATATTGATGCTCCTGATCTGGGGACTTTATTTTGAGAACCACTGCTAAAAAACAAACCTTATAAAATATATAACATATCAAATAGAAAGATAAGCCTTACTCAGTTAGCATAGAATATATAATTAAAATTATTTAAGAAGGATTTTATATACTTTCAGATGTTTTACATATTATGTAATCATACCTAATATTAACCTCATCTAAATGTACACCTATGGGCCTATTCTCTAACTCTAGAAATGTATTCTTTCAGGAACATCCTCTGATAATATTTTTAAAAACTAATTCTATAGAAAGTTTCTGATGGAAATCTAATGATATAGTGTATAGACTGGTGAAAACAACAAAATCCATATATTCTGAAATAGAAAAAATATAATGATTAAAAAAAAGAACACAAAGGGATTGTTTAATATATAAAGCTACATCATTTTCTATTAGCTTTTCTCTGACTACAATTATTATTATATATAAAGTCCATATAAATGCCATTTCCAAGAGTCTGCGAAAGGAGAGGACTTAGGAAGTACACGTAGTATTCAAGCCGTCATCTTCAACAGGGTAGTCTTTAATTCAAGATGGTATGAAAAGAAGCAGGCTATTAACAGGTTTACAAAAGTTAATCAAGTTTTTTTTCCATAATGGAGACTTTATTTAAAAATCATTGTGGATATTATTTGCTATATCAAAAATGTTCATGATGAATTCTTAGAAATAGTTTAAGATGTACTTGTGAGGCAAATCAGACTAATGCAACACTGTCTTCAAGGACTGCTTTTAAGGCCATACATAACTATGAGAAAGTTTTTGTCCATGCCAACTGGAGTTTCATTGCTTGAATATCCAATGACTGAGAAGGGAGAATCCTCAGATGCAGCAAGAAAAGACTTATATCAGGTGGAGGAAGGTACAAAGCAAGGAACTGAGAGAAGAGGAGCTGGAGAACGTGATCAGGTGGCCTTAGTTTGGGCATATTGTTATCTAGTAACAAGTACTGCTTGAGAATGTAATAACCCCTTCTAGTCTTCTATCAAAAAAGGAATCAAAAGAAATTAATCGAGAGTGTCATTATTTCTTTTAACAAGAATATTGCCATGGTAATTCAATAAGCTCATTTGTGTTCATGTTAATCTCAAAAAAGCACAGAAAGGAGTGAAGCACCTTTCAGTAAAATAAATACATTTTTCTTTGGGTAAGTAAACAGTATCACCACTAGGCAATATTTGTTTTCCTTAATTTACCAAATTTTTCTCTAGGAAAAAGTGAATGTGGCTTTAACAAGTTAACCTGGAGGACCTTAATACTCAAAGGCGGAAAGTGAGAAATAGCAAAGTGAGGGACACATTAATCATAGCCCATGGCACTGAGGCATAAAAAGTCCTCTCCTCATCATCTGCCTCTCATCATTCCAACACCTAACCTCTCTAACAAGAAGTGAAAAAAGGTGACGGTAATTAGTTTTGATGGAGACCACATGAAAAAGAATAAAACTTTATTAGGGAAAAAGGAGAAAGAAGACTGCTTAAAGAACCCGGTGTCTTCCTATAGAGGAGATTGAATATTTTCAAAGAAGGGTAGTAGGACTGGTGGTCTAAGAGAACTGAAGAAAATGCTATCAATTGGGCATAAAAGCCAGGTCAGGAATAGAAGCAAGAAATGTCCACAGGGTATTCTTTATTGTGAAACTCTAAGTATTTAAAAGGGGGTTACTCACCAGAGAGATCTAGGTGAAATTCTAAGATACTTAGATATTAAACTATCGTTCCTACAGAGAATTAATTTATTTTCTTTAGATAAAGCCTTGCACAGTTAGTCCTGTGGGCCGAGGGAAAAGGTGGACTAGAGGAGGGGGAACAAATGCATTCCAATCTCCCAGCTGCAGGGAAGCAAGTTTGATGCCTGTGCCTCTGTTATTACCACAGTCGGTGATTGCTAATAGCAGCAAAACTGAGAAAGGGCCATTGATAATGATCTATTGCCAAGAAGGAATATTTTTGAGGGAAAATATTCTCAGAAGATAGTAAGAGAAAGTCTTTTGATTGTCACAAAAAGGTAGCCAAGGGTTCCTTTAGAGTAGGGCTTCAGGAAATTCCTGGAAGAGATAAATGAAGTTTTGCAAGATGTATGTGCGTGAGTGTGCATATATACACAGTCCCACATTCTTTCCTGGATCCGGGGCACACATTTTCAAGAATGTGGGCCTAACTAGATATGCACAGCAGTTAGAGCTCTGCAATGCAGAAAAATGAGAGTTAACTTTAACAAGATAAAAAAGGTTAAAAAACCATTCTATTTCTAATGTTTAAAACATTGCTGGGTTTGCAATAAACATAAACAAATCAAACAAAAGGCAAAGACCTGAATTATGAGCAATAAGCAAACACAAAACTAGTGTTGAAGCTACAGATACTTGCTTTGGGATTAAGAGACTAAGCCTGCGGTCAGCAACAACATGTAGGAGCCAGTACTCAGATGCCCACATTAAACTAGGGCCCCCACAGCATGCCACATGGTTGCGTCAGTGCCCATTGACTCCTGGACAAAAGCAAATCTCAATTCTTGGGAGAAAGAATTTCTAATTTAGTCTCTTAGTGTTGTCACAAATTGGGTACAATCTAATATGTTGGACCAGTAAAAAGAGAATAATCAACCATGAAAGAATATGTCTTATAATGAGCTTCAGCAGAAACTGTAGCTTTAGATTATATAAATAATACATAAAGAATTATATTACAAGAATATAAAACATCTAAGCCTGACACATTTAAAAATGAAGATGAAGGCTGAGTGCAGTGGCTCATGCCTGTAATGTCAGCACTTTGGCAGGCCGAGGCGGGCAGATCACCTGCGTTCAGGAGTTTGAGACCAGCCTGACCAACACGATGAAACCCCGTCTCTACTGAAAATACAAAAATTAGCCGGGCGTGGTGGCGGGAGCCTGAAATCCCAGCTACTTCGGAGGCTGAGGCAGAAGAATCACTTGAGCCTAGGAGAGGGAGGTGGCAGTGAGCCGAGATCATGCCACTGCATTTCAGCCTGGACGACAGAGTAAGATTCCATCTAAAAAAAAAAAAAAAAAAATGAAGAAGAAGATGATGATGAAGTTAAAATCAGCAAGCAAAAACAGAATCATTAATTGGAAGGTAGAAGTAAATAAATATATTGGAATAGAGGACTGAGAGACAGGGTGATGAAAATATGAATGTGAGCTTAGTCATATGAAGGATAGCCAGCAAAATGGGATATAGGATCGTGAAGGAGCATACGGTGAACTTCAAGATTGTTAGCTATGTTTTAGTTCTTACATTGATTGAGGGTTCGCAAAGGTTCCATTTAGTAGTCTTATAAGGTATTATTCAATCTTCAATAACACAGTATTCTCCCTCTTTCTCTGCCCCTGTCCTCTTCATCATTATATTGAAGCAAGGAGGTATAGACATGCTTGTTAAAGAATCTTAAGATTTTTCACTGGTAAATGTATTCTCAGAATATATTTTAATGACAAAACAGAACAAGAAATGATCACAGAAAGTTAAGCCAATAATTGAATTCTGCAGAAGATGGCTTTAGCCTCTTGATTTTTTACTGATTTATTTCAAAACTGTTTATTTGGTACCCACAATAGCCAGACAGTGTTCTAATTACTAGATATGTAGGGATAAATGAGACAAATCCCTAGAAGATTACCTTCTAGATGTGCTGATATCACATATAATGTGCTGTTAGAGAGTGAATTATAAGTGTTATAGAGATAACTTTATTAATAAAATGTGTCAGATAATGGGAGGCTGTGTTAGTCTGCTTGGGCTGCCATAACAAAATATCAAAGGCTGAGTGCCTTAAACAACAGAAATGTATTTTTCACAGCTCTAGGGCCTTGGAAGGTTCTGGTGAAGTGGGTTTTATTCTGAGGCATCTTCTCTTGGCTTGTAGATGGTCTTCTCATGTATGTTCTTATGATCTCACTGTATGCTCCCTCTGTATGCTCTTATGTTTGCAGAGGGAGAGAGACTAAGCCCTCCTGTGTCTCCTCTTTTAAGAACACTAATCATGAGGAGCCCATCTTTATGACCTCATCTAACCCTAATTACCTTCCAAAGACCTGTTCTCCAGATACCTTCACAGTGAGTGTTACAGTGACACAAACATTCAGTCCATACTAGAGGGACATATCAATGATTTTGTTTCAGGAAAAATGAATCATATAGTTCTTTCAGGATTCAATAAGACGTCAAATAATATAATTTCTCACCTTGACTCTACCTTTGAAAAGTTATTATTTTTCTCTAACTAACTCGTAAGATGTAAGACTTCTTCTTTCATTATGTGTGGAATCCTCAGTAGGGCAGATGATACTGTACCCCTTCTTTGTCCCTGGGGAATACGTTCCAAGACACCCAGGGGATGCCTGAAACCATGAATAGTACTGAGCTCTATATATTCTGTGTTTGTTCCTATACACACATACCTATGATAAAGTTTAATTTATACATTAGGCACAGCAAGTGATTAATAACAATAATAATAACAGAACAATTATAACAATATGTCAGCATCAACATTGTTACACTTTGGAGTCATTATTAAGTAAAATAAGGGTTAATTGAACACCAGCACTGTGAGAACACAACAGTAGATCTGATAACTTAGACAGCTACTAAGTGACTAATAAGAGGGTGGCATGTATAGTATGGATACAGTAGACAAAGGGAGGATTCATGTCTTGCGTGGAATGGAATGAAACGCATGAGATTTCATCACGCTACTCATAATCGTGCAATTTAAAACTTATGAATGTTTAATTTTGGAATTTTCTATTTAGCAGTTTCAGACTGCAATTGATGCTGGGTAACTGAAATTTTGGAAAGTGAAACCATGGATAAGGGGGGAATACTGTAGTATATTCCATGAATGCTATATATATATATATATATATATATATATTTATATATATGCACACACATATATATGACATATACATACATATGTGTATATATTTTTTAAATTTTCTTTTGTTTTTATTTTAAAGTAAGGAGAAAGTTAAAATTTAACTTGAGTATATATCATTTACCTCATCACACCCATGAGAAGTTGTGGTGATATTTAAGATTTGCACTTTTGAGAAAAAAAAGATTTGCACCCCACTTCCTAGAAATTATTGTCATCAATAGTTACACAGAAATCAGCGTAAAACAGGCTGAAATCAAATCATAGTACACATTCCCTGTTTAAGAAATTTAATAATACTTAACATACAAATTTTCTTTCATCACAGAAATATGTTTTTTAGAGTATGACATTGAAATGAGACAAATATTTGGTTAAGATAAAGTTATTTGAGCAGATAGATTAGACTTTAGAATTTTCTTTAATTTCAAATTTCATACTTGGTGCTCAAATACCTTGGGTCCAGGCAAGAAAGAGCCAATTAGAGCATCCTGCTTCAGAACATGGATCAAACCCATAAAAAAGAGTAGGTACAGGTACAGTCCCACAATCTTCCATCAATAGAAGTAAGACAGAGAACAAGATACAAAAAAAAAGGTAGGTGGAAAGCAACTTGTCAGCCTATAATCAGATGAGGGGCAGATTCACTCTCCCCTGTCTAGCTAGCTATCAACAGCAGGATTAGTTCTGTCTGCCTATCTGTCTGTCTATCTATCTATCTATCTATCTATCTATCTATCTATCTATCTACCTGTCTGTCTGACTATTTTCTATCTGTCTATCTATCGTCTATCTATTTCTGCCTGGCAAGAATATTCCTCATTAATTTAGGGAATATTTTGCTTGCAACAGGAAAACAACAGAGGATGGAGAGTGTATTAGCACAGTTTTTCCTAATTTTTGAAATGCATATGTGGTTGCAACATAATCAACCCTAAGACAGAATTTATTTTTATGGTATTAAAAATAAATCGATTGAGTAAGAAAATTATTCATAATAATAAAACTAGCTACCATTTGTTGGGCACTTAGTATATATTAGACACAGCATCATAAATTTTAAATGCATTTTAATTTTAGTAAAAACAATGTGTAAATTTTACTTTTTTTATTCTGAAAGCTATGAACTAAAACACAAGACTTAAAGGATTAAATTATAATGCAACAGATCACATAGTTAATAGGTATTGCAATAGTGACTCAAATACACATTTTTGTATAGACATTATTTTTGATGGCAGTTTTAAATTAACACAAAAATTGAGTAGATAGTTCCGAGAGTTCCTACATACCTCATTATACCTTCTTACCCTATGTTTCCTCTGTTAACTTCCTGCATTAGTGCAGTACATTTGTTATAATTGATGAGATAATATTGATACATTACTATTTAAAATCTGTAGTTTAAGTTTCACTCTTTGTGTTGTACATTCTACAGATTTTGAAGAATGCACAACATACAATGACACATATCCACCATTGCCATATCACACAGGCAGTTTCACTGCCCTAAAAATCCTCTGGGCTCAACCTATGAATTCCTCCTTCCCCTGGCAGAACCCACGGCAACCACTTATCTTTTCTCTGTTTCATGGTTTTCCCCTTTCCAGATGTCAAATAGTTGGAATTACATTGTATGCACTCTTTTCAGATAGGCTTCTTTCACTTAACAATATGCATTTAAGGTTTTTTCCATATGTTTTCACGGTTTGATAACTCATTCTTTTCTTTTTATCACTGAATGATATTCTATTGTACAGATAAATCAATTTGCTTATCTATTAAACTGTTGAAGGATATCTTGTTTTTTCCCCCCATTTTTCAACAACTACAAATAAGACTGCTTATAAACATGGGAGTGGTCACATTTTTATGTGGACAAAGGTTTTCAACTCATTTAGGTAAATAACAAGGAGAACAATTGCTGGATCAAAGGGTAAGAGAATGTATAGTTTTATAAGAAACCACCAAACTGTCTTTCAAAAAGGCTATAGCATTTTGCATTCCCACTAGCAACAAATGTGATTTCCTGTTGCTTCACATTCTCACCAGAATTTGGTGTTGTCTGTTTTGAATTCTGATCATTTTGATAAGTGTATAGTGGTATCTAATTGTGGTTTTAATTTGTAATATCCTAATGGCATATGATATTGAGCATTTTTGCCATCTATATGTCTTCTTTGGTAAACTGTTCAGATATTTTACCCATGTTTTTGAAAATATGTTGCTTGGTTTCTTACTGTTGAGTTTTGAGAGTTCTTTGTAAGGTTTGGATACCAGTCCTTTATCGGATATATGTTTTGCAAATGCTATTTCCCAATTTATGACTTGTTTTATTATTGTTGACACTTTTTTTGCAGTGCAGAAGTTTTCAATTTCAATGAATTTCAACCTATCAATTTTTTTCTTTCACGAATTATGTTTTGGTATTGTATCAAGAAGTCATTGCCTAACCCAAGGTCACCTAGATTTTCCAAATATGCTTTTATCAGTACATCTATAGATAAAATCATAAATTATTTCTTTCAAACTTGAACTATTTAAATTTAGTTTTTATGTATTATTTATTTTTGGTGCTTTTATTATACATCTGGAGACTTAATTGAGAATGTCAGGAGGGTATAAAAGTGATGTAGTTAATGTAAAATATTTTTATTAAAATTTTAGGAACATTTCTACCAAATATGAGACAGATGTGGTTTATATTGAAGGGACTGAGCAAGCACTTAAAAGAATGCAGGAAGATCCAAAAGCAATATGTTAAGACATCATACTTTTCTTTCTCTAGAGCTATGCTTACCCACCTGTATGAATGAGTTCTTTTTCTGGTGTATTTTAACCTGGCATCTATACTGGTTACGCTGATTTTGATGGAGAAACTAATCTTTATTTTGCAGAGTTTCTGCAAATCATAGCATCTCATATCGATCACTACCTTGCATTCAAGCATAAAGCAGCCTTGGGAAAGCTTCAGGCTTCTAGATATTTTCCAGTATTCTTGATAAAAGCAATTCTGGGAAAACAGTGAGGGTGGATAACAAATAGAATTCAAGTGAACCTTATGCAGGTAACCCACCCAAATGAAGTTAGAGTATTTTTAAGCAAATATTACCTTCTGAAACTTTCCTGGTTTTGTGTAGCCTAAGTTAACTGTAAATACACTTCTGATAAGCACTTCAGTAGCTGATCTCAGCACATACACTGGAGTTTTTAGATATTTAAAACTGCCTGTAATAGTTCTGTGATAAAAGGAAAAATAATTAAAACATCAGTCCACACTATATCTTGTACATGGTATAGATATTTTGTCTCCTTCCCCAAAAATAAACAACTAAATTCCAGTCAAAACCATGTTCAGAGAAACAGAAATAAGACACAGAAATAGAGGTGATTACCCATAAGGAAAAAACTGAGATTTTCTCATAATGAGCATGTGTTATTCAATTATCAATCTGTTCTGAACAAAACAAAGAATAGCTGTAGGATAATTACATATTTGTGATTTTGCAATAAAGTTTGAAATGTCCTCTATGTTTTCAATTTTTTTTATCTGTAAAAAGAAACAGACATATCTAGTGTTCAAGTCCACAGCACTCTTCAAATATTATATGCTGTACCACTTAGAATTTATGTCACATTTAGAGAATCTTACTGAGCTGGAAAATAGAGATATGCCCTTTTTTGCCAATTTTTTCTTCACTCATTTTCCAGTCTAGTAGCAAAATAACTGTTCAGAGAGTGAAAGTCAGTAAAAATGCTGTAGGCTGTTCGTGGTTTCCATTGGGAAGAACTAGTAGAAATACTTGATAACATGTATAAAGGTCTGAAGCGAGGGCACTTAGTGTCAGAAATGAAGCATTTTTAAAACTGCTTTTGCAAAGTGACTGTAAATATGCTCTCTCCAGATTGAAAACATGTCAAATGCGTTACTTAAATTGACTGAAAAAGCACAATATTATGCAATTTTTTTCTAAATTGAGTTCATGGTTCAGTGATCTAAGTACCCCACCAAAAATTAAAGTATGTTCTCAAGAATACTGAATCCAATTCTATTTTAAGGAATAACTGGTTAGATAAGGCCTTGGACAAATCAAATGATCTTTCTAAGACCTAAATTTCTTTACAGCTGAATTTCTTTTCAGTTACAACAGTGCTATGACTTAATAAAACAAAATTTAATAAACATTTTACCAGGCAATTCTAAGGAGTAGGAGAGTATATCTTTCAAACAAAAATATCCTATGACCCTTTGTTCTCTCCCCAGGACCCATCCTCCCCATGTACAGTTACCTACTGCAGAGAATTGGGGAGTTCTCTTCTCCAGATTCAGAACATACTTCACCCTTAGTATCAGAACAATGGACTTCAAGACTACATTCTGCGTCGGCGTGCCCCTGAGATATTTTTGCATTGCATAACTTATTTCTTTGAAAGAAACTATTGTATTTTATAAAGCTGGGTTAAATAGCATTTTATTGATGAAAAGAGTTAAAAGGCTAGAAAAAAATGCTTAATTTACACTTATGAGGCAACTTGTATTAACTGAAGACCAATATTTTTAGATGTCATATATTTAAAACATAGTCTCTAGTCTTCATATTTCTACCCAGTATTTTACTGCACACAGTAGATTTTTTAAGTTCAAAGAGGCTGGAGAGTATTAATATTTCTAGTTGTTTTGACTTGTTTACATTTGTTAAGATCTGAAATTTTCTTTGAGCCTATTTCTTGTAACATAAGCACAGAGGTTTATATAAAACAGTGATTTCAATTTTAGGACTATTTGGTCATTGATATATATCTCAAATTTATATTTCTGTATAATTCCTGAAAAGAAAAAGAAAAAGAAAACAAAACAAAACTTATTGACCTGAAAACATACTGAAATACACTGGAATTCATTTTAAATTATCATCAACCAATTTAAATTACTGTTTTCCACCACCTGCTGTAAGACTAAGGAGAGGTCACATATTGATTTTGGACCTATGTACAGTTTTACTAGTAGTATTTAAATGTCATTCTTTGAATTAGCCAAGACTCATTAACAAGCACATTTTCTTCTATGTAGAGCAATTATATATGATACTATTAGCAGTATCAATTAAGATAGATAAAGTAATAGCCTAATTGAATGCATGAGGAGTCTAATGGCTTTGCCTTCCCTGATAATGGATTGCACTCTATTCTCATGTACAGTAAGCCAGACACAGGTTCAATAGAATTTTATGCTTAGAAAAACTACTAGCCTGAAGGATACCAATATCTAATTTAGAACTCATTACTCACATTTTAAGTTAATCAATGGGAAATATGTCATATAATTAAAAAGTTATTTCTGAAAACAGGTGCTCATGTCATTTCACTCTAAAACACTGGGACTTTTAACATTTTTGTATCTATATATGAACAGTCTAGCTTATAGCTGCAATATAAAATTCAAAAAATTTATCTTGTTTTGTTTTGCCTTTTGCTGTTTATGACATTTTTAAGTTACAGAAAGTGAACTTGGGCAGGGGTGGGTCAGTGCAACAACATTCCAATAGTTGCATAACTCAGTTGCTCCTAATAAAATCTGAGGAAAAATGTGAAGTTATTGAAACTTGCCTGAGCACTCCCTTGGTGAAAGTTACACTGATTTTGATGGAGAAACTAATCTTTATTTTGCAGAGTTTCTGCGAATGATAGTGTCTCATATCAATCACTACCTTGCATTCCAGTATAAAGCAGCCTTGGGAAAGCTTCAGGCTTCTAGATATTTTCCAATATTCTTGATAGAAGCAATTCTGGGAAAACAGTGGGGGTGGATGACAAGTAGAATTCAAGTGAACCTTATGCAGGTAACCCACCCAAATGAAGTTAGAGTATTTTTAAGCAAATGCAAAGTGAATGAGCTTTGTATCAATATAGATTTTAACCAAAGCTTTGTCAGATTCATAAGCCTTACTTCTTATTCTACCCTCACAAATAACAGGAGATACCAGAGTAATAGCTTATTGCACAGGAAAGAAAAAAGGCTTTCCTGTGAGAATATATTTTATTGTGGCAGATATGATTCACAAGCATACAGATTAGTTGTATGAGCCCTTTGGTCTCCAAGCACAGTACTACTGCTTTCATTTGGTAAACTATAATTTAAATTAAAATATTTATATTATACTTAAATATGGGGAAATCGGTATGGTAAAATACAATTAGTTGTAAGTATAACTTGGTACAAATTTTCTGGAAAGCAATTTGGTATTATCTACTAAAACGTAAAATTTTAATACATGTAACGGTTGACACAGCAACTCTGTTATGAAGACATTACCTTTCATGAATGTACTCATAAAAGTTATCCAAGATGTATTATGATTTAGCTTAACTTGAAATAACAACAATCAGTTTATATCTAAAATGTTGATAAATAAACTGAGTAATTGATCATTTACAGCAGTGTAACTAATAAGTTATATCTGCATGTGCTGATATGGAATATTCTTAAGATTTATGGTTACTATTAAAAGCTAAAATACAGAAAAAATATATGTAATTTATACTACAAAGAAAATTTAAGAGGAGAAAATTAGAAACAAACAAACAGGTAATAGGAAGATGTGGTTTATCTTTCCAGAAGTAGATGCAGGAGCCATTTAAAAGAGGATAACTTTATGCTAAGGATTATATTGTTTTAACTTTTTAATCACATGTATATGCAACTTTTATTTTTCAATAATATTCAAACAATATTTCCATGGGATGATAGGTGGGTGTGTCTAAGAGAAATATAAAAGCAATAACTAGTGTAAATATACATATTCATAAAACATATTAAGATCTATGTTCATTGTCACATGAAGTTATACAATATATTTTCCTCTATTTAGTATGTTTTGTGTGGCAATGCTATGGTTAATTAGGCAAGCATAGTTGCCAACATAATTCTTTTCTGGATTAGATAATTTTTGTCCTGAGATGTTTGACCACTGTGACTCTGAAATCAGAAGATAAATTATTGTTTATCAAAACTCCTATAATACCTATCATGATTATTTTGTAAGCAATTTTTAAAAAGATGAAAATATAATGTTAAGTATTAATTAAATTATATTTTGGACCACTATGAACTTATAAAATATATAGTATAATGGAATGGCTTTAAATAAATATATATTAAATATATATATAATAAATGTTGAAATTATTTTAAAATTAATAATAGTTTTGAATGTTAAGTCCATGGAAATACATTAAATAAAATGATGATACTACAGTTAAGAAAAAGTATTGTTAAGCATTTATTGAACTGTTGGTCAGACACTGAGCTAAGCACTTTAAACACAATGTCATGTAGAATTAAATCATGAAGCATCATCAAAGCAACCTGAAAGAAAGAGCAGCTTGAACTTTAAGGACAAGATATGTCAAAATTAAAACATGAATGAAACTTTATGGAATCAGTGTTCTTTTCATTAATGGCATGTTCTGCCTCTTTTAAGACTAGAGTATGTTCTCTGGATTTCTTATGGTAGATGAGAAAGTAGCATAGAGAATACTGGCTTTGAAGGATGGCTGTCCAGAATCCTGAATCAACTCTAAAAGGCACAGTACACTTCAGGCTGTGTTACACACAGTAAAATATTTAAATAGATACTGAAAGTCATCTTGCTATCCTAATGTGGAAGACATTGCAAAGTTTTCATAATTTACTAAGTTTTTACTTTCTTTGCCTCCTCATCTTTTATCACATCCTAACAAATAAAACTTTACTTGTGTCACGGGATCCTGGGGGTGTCACTTCACCAGCAGGAATCCTCTTTGGCCAGTGGCACCTTTGCCCAAGTTTTACTCAGGCCCACTGGGCTCATTCCACCCACTTGGCCTGGCAAACTGTGCTCAGCTTGCACTATCAGCCCGGATCTGACACCTGCCATGGGTGAGCCAGGTGTGCAGCAGTGTGGGGTGCATGAGTGAGTGAACCTAGGGTCGCAGTGTGGGGTGCATGAGTGAGTGAACCTAGGGTCCAGCCACTTCACACAGCCCAGCATGCCAGCTGTGGAGGGGCAGGCAGCTCCAGGCACTGGCAAAGGCACTGGCTCTCCGCGAGGCTGCAGCCAGACTAGGCATATTGCAAGTGGGTTCCACTGAGGGCACTAGGGAATGCAGTGGCACCTGGAAGCTTGGAGATGCCAGGAACTGCAGTACCCCAAAGAGTGTGTCACAACCCTGGCTCAGGAAGCTCCCGGGTCTGGGATCTCCGAAGAGTCACAGCTCTTCTCTCCTTCTCTTCACCAGCAACATGGCTAGTGGGGGTGTGTGTTTCAGCCCTGTTTGTGTTACAGCTTTCACTTCCACCATTTGGCAGGTCTCATCCCGTGTCCAGGAAGAGTGAGGTACCTGGACAACTGGAGGGTGAGCAAGGAGAAGAGGTGCTTTATTGAGCAATAGTGCAGCTCTCAGGAGACCCAAAATAGGTAGCTCCTTTCTGCGGGCAGGTTTTCCTGATGAGTGTAGCTCTCAGTGAAGAGGAGACCTGGAGTGTGTAGTTCCTACTCACAGGCAGGTCATCCTGTCATCTGACAAAGTCTGGCTGAGCCTGGGGTTTTTATGAGCTTCAGAGGGGAGGAAGTGCATGCTGATTGGTCCATGGTAGGCCATGGGTGGACCAGAAAAAGCACCATAAGTTCTTACTCCATTCAGGGAACTGGCAACTTGGCTCCTGCTTCAGGCCATCCCTGACTTGAAGGTGGGGCTTCATGAGGGACCCACCTCTTTCTGCCCAGGAGCCTGTGAGCCTCCTGCTGCCATCAACCTGCCACCTATGGCTCCCATGGTCCCCAGGCTGTTCATGCCAAGGGGCAACTGCAGGCCCACACCAATCTGCCCGTAGCCCCCTGTTGGCCTCCCTCCCATGCTCGTTGGTGCCCAAAGTCTGGAGGGGGACAAGGCAGCAGGAGGCTGGTGTGTCAGTGCTGCTCTGAGTGCACGTACACCCTGCTGGTCACTTCAAAATCAGAGCAGGGTCCTAGAGCAAGGAGAGGCCAGATGGCTGGAGCAGGCTCTTCTGAGCCTGTAGAGGAAGTGGGGCTTCCTGGGCCCCTAAGAGTGCAGGAATTCTGGGGTCCACAGTAGTGACTGGGCAGCTGCAGCTACGCCTGGGAGGGTGAGACTCCAGGCCCTCCAACCCAGAAGCGCATGGGTTTCCCACCTGTTCCCAGCTCCCACCAGCTCTGTGCAGTGAGCAGCCCCAGCCACACCGCCCCTGCTGCAGCCAGTGACTTGGCAGTGGCCACTCCAGATGGGCTGCCACTGCCATCAGTTGGTGATTGAGCTTTGTCTTTTCTCATATTTTCAAATACAACAGTGTCATTTTCTGGACTAAGATACATGTTTATAAAATTCTATTAACTCTGTTGATCTACTTGTTTTGTCAAATTGATAATGTAAGGCTTAAATGGGTATTTTAATTTGATAGAAATATTGATAAGAATATTTAATGGAAATTATATTTTGGAGAAAATGCTTTATGGTGGAAATCCCAGCCACAGGGCAATGTACAGAATAATGATACAGGAGCAATTTGCTTCCCAAGTTTGTTTTCTATCTACATTTCTTTACTTGTTTTAAAACTTCATTTTTAATTTAATGATGAACATGTAGTTAAACCATATTTAATGCTAAAATTTAACAAAGTATAGTTGGTTTAATTATATTTTTTATTATATATAATTCTAATATATATTAGACTTTTATTATATAAAATTCTTACATATATATAATTCTATATGTATTATAGAAATAAACCCTCTATTTGCTATTGTCTGCTGGTTCAACTGTCATTTATATGAAGCAGCCAAGGGTACTGGGGGACTTAATTCCAGGAATTTTAGAATCTTCTCAAAAGTCAGGAGAATTATCTTGCAAGAGAAACCCATGTCAATAGTTAATCAGATTTATATTGTAAATTATGTACTTAGGAAAATTTGATATTTGTAAAATATAATCTCATACTCACAAATATTTTGAACTTTCATATTAAGTAGGCATTAATCCAAACATGTAATGATTACTTCAACCTAAGTAGAAGGTAAATGAATATGTCCAGGTAAGGTTCTAGTTAAAGTTTATTATTAAAAGATAATAGAAAATAAATGTGCACTCATAATGATTTGATTTTCTTATAATTATTTTATCTCCAATGGGTCTATTATCTAACATGGATTAGACAGCATATTTACTTGGTTTATAGAACACACAAAAAAAACAGGATATGTATTTTGCCCTAGCCATGTATCAAACAGATATTACAAGTGCTAGAAAGAAGCAAAGAAATGCCAGGCTATTTTTAACAATTCAGAAAATATTTGGATGAAATTTGGAAGTTATTTATTTGGGACCCAAATTTCCTCATCATTTTGTTAGGGGTATTAGACAAAATAATTTTCAAGGTCATTTTCTACTGTAAGATTCATAATTCAAGTGCTTAAAGCTAAATACATAAAGAGATCATTGGCCAACCTTTCCATTATGATTAGTCATATATTTGAAATAATTTTGCCCATTTGGAAAGACAATTTTAATATTAAGAAAAATACTTGATCACTACATAATCTATATATATATATATATACATATAACAAAAATATGCTTCTATCCCATAAATTTATATAAATAAAAAAGAAACATAATATCAATTCAGAAACACATACAATTTTTCAGCTCAGTATAGAGTAGGGATTAAAAGTGGATCTATTGGGCTAGATCGCTGGGATTCACACACTTGTTCTATCAATTATTAGTTATGTGGTTTACTAAAATATGTTACTTAACATCTCTTAGAAATTGAGTTATCAGAAAATAAGATATGCTAAGGATGTAAAACCTCAATAATATTAGGGATTACTAAATACATTTACTGAGTCACAAGTGGTGCATACTCATTCAACCAAGAATGTCCCTAGAATTATTGGTCTTGATAACTAAGTATTTTGAGATGTTTGCTAAACATTTTTAATAACTTATTAATTCCAGTGTTTAAGAAAATTATTAATGTGAGTTGAATTCACATTAATGTGAATTAGAATTCCTGAAAAGCATAGGCACAAGTATATTCACATTAAAATTATGACTTAGAGCAAAAATATTGAAAAAAATTATTTTAACCTTTATATTTCAATGAAAGGCACATATTCAATATGTTACATTTCAGAATTTTCCAATAAAAAAGAATCTTATTAATATATTGGTTTGGGTTCATTGGGCCTTAAGAAACACCACTCTGTGTGCCTGCACTGAATATGAATGTATACATGGGTCTGAAGTATACAAGTAATATGTAGTTACCACATAGAGGCTTTCAACATTGTATAATTCAACACCGTATAATTTCACTTGGAATTTTTCAATAAGTATATATATTAATAAACCACAGCATTTAATCAACTAAGTGAAACAGGTGATTGGAAAAGGCATGTTAATTCAAATTAGGTCATTGGAGTTTTCTTCAGGTAAGGGAGGCAGATCCAGAACTCAAAGAAATAGTGGAAGTCAAATGATGGGTAAGGAGCTGGAAATGAAATGAGGACCTTACAGACACAGCAGTGATATTGATTTATAGAATAACAAATTTGAAAGATAAATGAATAGCTTGGTCAGAATGAAGACATGTCATAAAGTGAGACAGACTGTGCAGAAATGAGAAAGGAAATGGTTGTGATTTTATAATACCAGAAGCAAAGAATTTTAAGTTCTTTTTCAAGACCAATTCAACAATAAATCTAACGTAGTTCTTAAAAATAACCTGTAAACAAAAGCTTGACCATTTATATTCATTCATTGGCAAATATTTCTTTAATGGGAGTCACAATCTTCTTAAAATGAACCAATATTCATTCGATACATAATTTAATGTAAATCTCAAGTATTTTCTGTATGCATATACCATGTATACACAATGTATATTATATGTAAGCTCATTATGTATATGTTTGTAAGGATATATTAGTATGTTTATACATGTATGTTTGTATGTGTATTAATATATCTTTATGCATTTATACATAACATCACAAATATCAAATTTAATTAACAATTTAACAAGTGATAATATATAGCCACTATATAAAGGGGCTATATATATATACGTATGTATGTATACATGTATACACTAGGGATCACACGTTATGCATCTTTTAAATTGTTAATTAAGGTTTGTATTCAAAGCTCCTATTTCTAAATCGTCTTTGTTTTATCAATTAAATTACTTAGACTATTACCATAGAATTTTTATTATGTTTATCCATTTGTCAACTTCTGAAAATTCCCATTTCTCACTTTTTATATTTTGAAACTATACCATCAGGAACATACCAATATATGATCACTATAGCATTTTATTGGGCTTCTCTTTAATTATTGTATTATGTTCCTTTTTTTATTTCTAATTATTCCTTTTTGCTTTAAAATCTTTTTCACTTATGCCAATATTGTTACCACAGTTTTTCAAAAATTGGCTGTTGATGTTATTTTTGGTAAATATTTTTCTAGTTAGATAATTTTTTCTTTAGCCTTATGCTGAAAACTTTAACTGAAGTGCCACTTAGCATTTCAAATCATCTTCTGAGTCATCTTGAGAAATTTCACAATCTTAAAATACCATTTGGATACACTGTCCATTTACTTTTGTCATTATCTTTTAATATTTTATCTTGATCATTTGTGTTAGTCATATTCCTTTAAAAATATGTATGCAAATTATATCAATAGGTAATTACATTTATCAACTTCATCAAATTATGGGGTAACTGTGTTTCTTGTATATTATGTATTCTCTCTGTGTTCGAATTTGTATTTAGTAATAACGCCTTTTAATATAAATTTTAATAAAAATCTGGGATTTATAATCGTTGTTGGTCTTTAGTAAGTCTGAAGGTATCTTTATTTTGCCCCTATCTTGAACATTAATTTGGCTGTGTTTAAGAATTCCACAACCCTTTGAAGATATTACTGCCATGTCTTTTATCTACCTCAATGGCTGCTGAGAAGGAAGCATTATTCCTTCATTATTTGTATATAATCTGTTCTTTTTGGACAGCTTTTAAATTGTTTTCTTTATCTTGGACATTCTGTAGTTTTAATAAAATTTGTTTGGCATGATATTATTATTTTTTATCTTGCTCAACCTGAGACTGATTTCTTGATTTGATTCTAGAAAATTTTTTGCAAATATATTTTCAGGTATTGCTGTTATCTCATCTCCTACAGTTTATTCATTTGAAACTTCCACTAAAAGAATATTGAGTTAATCAACTTCATGCCTCTTATGTGAATGTTCATATTTTTATATACATGCATCTGGCTGAGCTTCTTCTAACTGATTATTTTGTTGTTTTATGCGTAAAGTGTAGAGTTCATTTTATCTCTTGCATTTCTTATTTTATGACTATACATTTTATTTCCAAAGCGGGTATCACCTCTTTTTTACACATGTATTAGATATTATTTTTTTCTCCCTGTTTTTATTTTATGATCTTTTAAAAAATACATGCTATGCTTTTAAAATTTGTAATAATGGAACATGTCCCATATGTTTATTATAAAATCTTTGATGGAATATAATTTAGAAATTTTGTTTGAAAACATGGTATCTCTGATTTTTTAATTTGTTGGCTACCATTGATTTCTGTGTTTTGATATTTTGCAATGCAAACCTTGTGTTTTTTAAAACTCTCTTTATTTTTACTCTACTCATCTTTTTCTCTTTAGCATTTGCAGGTGTAAAATATGACAGGCTCTATCTCACACAGAAGTTCAATTGGCCCCTAGAAGCCAGACTGTTGTTTTTTCCATGACTTTTTTAGATTCCAATGAACAGTTTAACAGCCTTTTTAAGGATCTATCTAATGAGTTCAAAAGACCGTTGTCTTTAAGCAGTGAGTCATCTAATGGCTCCCAGTTCTGTGCCAGTACACTTTGTCTTCTTTTCCACAAACATTTTAAACATATTTTACAACCTCTGCCTGTTTCAGGATCTAAATTGAGCAAGCCCATGGCTTCAGTCTTTGTTTTCTGTTTATTTATCTGTTTCTATTCTACTAAGATATAGGTATTTTGTTTGAGAATTGATTTTTTTATGCTTCACGTTTGCTGTTCTGAATGAACAGAGAGTTTTTGAGTGTGAATTCAACTGTACTCCACAGGTCTAGAAGAGGTCTTTTAATTGCTAAAAATAATAATCTACAAATAATTGCTTCCTTTTAAACTCTGGTTTCCAGTGCATACAGTTCTCTCTATTTTCCACACTGGTTAATACTTTACAAATTTTTTTGCTTGTTTCTATCGTCCCCATTCTTTATGTCTAAATGCCCCATTTAGATAGTAGATTTATTATCTTTCTTTTTCTTTACACATCTTTGTCATTTTGTCCAGTCATGAGGCTATAATTTACATAAATATATAAATGTCGCCCATATATTAACTATAACTCAAACATTTCCTCTGTATTCTAGAATTGAATAAGCCATTATCTACTCAATATATCCATCAGAATATCAAAAATGCATCATAAACTTAACATGCACAAAAAAGAGCTTCTGAACATTTTGCAAAACCCTCTCCTTCAATACCTTCATAAAGCTTAAAAATTGCCTCCCATAAGCATTGTCTCAAGAAGTTCATGGAAATCTTTTGCTATATAAAAATAAGGTGCACAAAGACAAGGAGAGCTGGGTTAGGATAAGTAGAATACTACACATGAGAATGTAAAAAGAAAATATTCTGAACTCCCTGGATCATGGTTCAGAAAAATTTCAGAATGTCAATTATGTAGCACAAACAGAAAACTAGTAAAGGTCAAAGCAGGAAGTTTAAAATCTAATACTTTTCACCAAAAGCAAACAAACAAACAAGCAAACTAAAAATTATGCTGTTTGGTTACCATAGCTCTGTAGCATAATTTGAAGTCAGATAATGTGATCCACCCAGTTTTGTTCTTTTGCTCAGGATAGCTTTGACTAATCTGGTTCTTTTGTGGTTCCATATAAATTTTAGAATTTTTTTTTATTTAGGTGAAGAATGTCATTGGTATTTTCATAGAGATTGTATTGAATCTGAAATACATTTCCATGTTTCAGGGTCTTCTTCAATTTCTTTTATCAGTGCTTTAGAGTTTTCATTGTGGCAATCTTTCACTTCTGGTTAATTCCTAGGTACTTAATTTTATTTGTAGCTATTGTAAATGGGATTATTTTATTATTTCTTTTTCAGATTGTTCAATGTTGGAATATAGAAATGTTAATGATTTTTGTGTGCTAATTTTGTATCCCGCACATTTACTGAATTTGTCAGTTCTGGCATTTATTTATTTATTTATTTTTGGTGGAGTCTTGATGTTTTTCTAAATATAAGATTATGACATCTGCAAAGAAGGATAAATTGACTTCTTCCTTTCCAATTTGGATGCCCTTTATTTCTTTATCTTGTCTAATTGCTCTAGCTAGGACTTCAAGTACTATGTTCAATAACAATGGTGAAAGTGAGCATCCTTGTTTTTGTTTTGTGATTATAATCACAATGATAGTTTTACTCAGAATGCCAGCCTGCAAAATGTTTTTAATTTGTGAAGATACATAAATTTTAAGCCAGAATATAAATTGCCTATGTCACTAAACATACTATTGTGTTCTGTTGACTATATAAAAAATATTATATATATACGTATATATATAACATATGTGTATTTACTTATGTAAAATATATATATTTTTTGGAGAGGGATATCAAATCTATCTCAATATAGGAAGCAATGCATTGGTTGATTATATATTTTTCTTTGCCATTAAATATACCATACATGTTATTCTTTATATACATCTTTATTTTTACTGCCTACCTATCATTAGAAACCCTATCTTCTTAAAAGAATCCCTACAATTAAAAATCTCCACCAGTATATCTTTTAATGATATCTTCATCCATTTTGTGCTGCCACAATAGACTACCGCAGATTGAGTAATTTATAATGAACAGAAATTTATTTTCTCACAGTTATAGGTATTGGGAAGTCTAAGACCGGAATTCAGTAAGGGCCTTCTTGCTGTGTAATCACATGGCAGAAGATGACAGAGCAAAGAGAGGGCCACAGGGAACTTTTACTATTATAAAAGCACCAGTTCCATCCATGAGGGTGGAGCCCTCATAACCTAATCACCTCTTAATGATTACAATGGGAATTAAATTTCCACATGTGTTTTTATGGGGACAGAAATTTAAACCATAGGAAATTATTATCTATTCTTTATTCCCCCTGGTATTTTTTTATTCCTTTGGCTCTGCAGATTCAGTTCTCTCTTGGGTTTAAAAATATTGTTTTACATTTCTTCTCACATTCTCAAATTTTAAACACAATGTCTTATTCTCAGAAAATACTTTCTCATCCATCCTGCAAGTTGTTTTCATTCAGGCCCATACCTCTAGCCTCATTCTGTAACTCTCTATCTCAATCTGCTTCTGATTGCTTCTTTCATAGAACTACCATGGATATGTTTACTGGTAATCATCATCCATTTCTAGCTAATGTAGGCTGATTCTGCAGACAGCAGCAGAGATAGTGCCCCTTGGCTATAGCAGGTCTCTTGATTGTGGGAGATGCTCATTGTGGTATCCTGTGGAGCCAGCAGCTGTAGAGGCAGTTTGCTATGTGGTTTCCTAATCCTAGAAAAGACAATGTATCTGTTTTTTAGGGCTACCTAAACAAATTACCATAAATTTGGTAGCTTAAAACAACAGAAATTTATTTTCTCACAGTTCTGAAAGTCAGATCTCCAAAATTAAGTAGAGGCAAGACTATTCTTCCTCCAAAGATTCCAGAGGATAATCTATTCCCTGTCTCTTCCAGCTTCTGGTGGCTGGCAGCATTTCTTGTGGCTGCACCACTCCAATCTCTGTCTGAGTCTTCAGGTAAACTTCTCTTCTGTGTCTCTCATGACACTTGTCACTGGGTTTAGAGCTCATCCAGATAATTCAAGATAATCTCATTTTAAGATATTTAAATTAACCACATAAACAAACACTTTTTCTCAAAATTGCGTTCACAATTTCCAGGATGTAGAGATTTCCTTTTGGAGGCCACTATTCAATCCACTAAGGCAGCGTTCCCCTTGGGTTCTCAGCTTTGCAGTATAAATTAGCGAGTCTTTCCTAAAATTCAATTTGGAGTTGCTTTCTTTAGGCCTTGCAGTGATTCTTCAACTTCTTATTAACCCATGATAAACTATTTTCTGATTAAATTAGATAGAAACTCTGACAAAATAGCACTTTTCTAAATTTATATTTATTTCATTAAAGTAATAATAATTGTTATTATTACTGTATGCCACACAAATATATGTTTCTGAAAGATTAGAACTATTCTTGTTTAGTTTATTGATGTATCTATATTGATCAGCATAGGGCCTGGTAAAAAATAATTAAAGGCCCCATGAACAAATGAACATCAGTGACCTGTATATTACCTTGAATTTTCATTTTCTATATTCCATTTTTCACTATAATTTGTGGCCTTTTTCTTCCTTTTGTCATATTTCATAACATATTGAGAATTGTTCTATTTTGTTCTTTAATTTGAGTTTGTAAGATCTTAATTCATAAATTTATTTTTAATAATAGGTTTCAATTTTTTGTTGTATTTTTAGATTTATTGCTATGTATTCTAGCCCATTCTAACATTTAATTTTTTCTCTATGTCTCATTATCTTTTTAAATCTCTTACTGAACATTGTACTCTGCATCTATTAATTCATAGAGTCCATGTTTTCTTGCAATTCACTAACAATATAATGAAGATTTTTTAAAAATTTACCTTAGTTTACTGTGGCAAATACTTTCACTCTTCTGCTTCCTCTGCACTTCTGCATTGCCATCATATATTTTGTGCTTTGCATTTTTTAGAGGCCCCAGAAGAATTATGTGCTCAACACAAATTAGGACTTTATGACATTTATATTGAATAAATTGACTTTTTTAAAATAAGGAATGAATGTTGAGTGAATTTGCCTTCGTTACACTCGCTGGCCATTTGATTCTTTTTGAAACTATTCTCTAAATTCTCAAGATAAAGGGCTAGTGCATCTGCATAATTCCTAAACCAATTTCTTATGGGCTCCGAACTGAGATAGGATCCAATGCCTCCACATTAGTCATCTTATGAATAAAAGATTATCCCTGGACAGGAATGCCCGGAGGCTTCCTAGTGGTGAAGCAACACGTTATTGGCCTGTTCCTGAATGCTCCAAATTCTAGGACTTTTTCTGCAGCAATGGCAGCCATGCTGCCCATGTTCCCAATTGTACTGGTCCTGGGTGACTTGGGTCACCAGGCCTAGGCCAACCTTTCTGAGACAACATGTTTCCCTGGTTTGTGTACAGTTTTAAGAAATATTACAGAGATAACATGAATGGAGATGGCTGACTAGTTGCAGACAAGTGGAACAGCTCCCATGGAGGGACTGAGATGACTGGTGTGCTTTTAACAGATCTTCAGAGGGAAGGTGCTGAGAGTGGACAAAGGGAAGACAAAGAAGCTGAGCTGAAGGGAGATAAAGCTGGGAACCCTGCATGGGCTATTGCACACTAGGACTCTTTTATGAAGTGTAACAGCTCTGGGAGAACTGGTGAGTTGAACTGATAAAGAACAACCTGCTCTCCCCACATGACTCTGGAACCTCAGCCTGAAGGGACTACTCAACCACTACAGGCACTTGAGGCGGCAGGGAGAGCTGCTTAGAGAAGTGGTAGGGCAGGAAACCAGCTGATGTGCAGCCCAGGAGGTTTGGTGTAAGAGTGCCTGCAATGGAGCATGGCTGGGGATGGGTGTCTCCCTAGGCTCAACTTGTTCCCATAAGAGACGTTAGCCCTAGGGGAACCGTCAGACCTAATCTCTGCAGGGTGGTGTTGTACATCAGATGGGGTTGTTCTGACCGGAGAACTCCTTGGTCTGTTTACCAATCCTGGGGCCCCAGCCTAGCCATGCCTTCTTACAGGGAAGTCTGAGGTGCCCTGGAGCCCACACCACAGCTTCCATGCCTGGTGGACCTTGCCTGATCAGTGGAGAGCTGCAGCAAGGGAGACCACATGGCTGCACACCAGCCCTATACTGTAGCCTCCCTGGAGCCCAGGGCAACTCCCCACATCACTTTGCCAGTGAGTGTCTGCACAGACAGGTTTTGCTTTACTTGCTCCTCCAGGACTTGGGAATTCAGTATGCTCTTCATCCCCCACCAACTGGCATTGCAGGCAGAGTCTTTGGTGGGCACAGAGCCAGCAAGCCCCACCCCCACCAGTGGTCCACCCTTGGGCTAAGGCTGTGCAGAGAACAGGGAATCCTCCCATACCTTGAGTGATCACTCCTGCTTTTGGGAAACAGAGAAGGCACCCAGGTCTGCACTGGCCAGCACCCCACCCCAAGCCAACACCACCTCCATTGCAACAGAACTCAGTCTCTAGCAGGGGCACCCACTCCCCACTCCCAGCTGCCTTGTATCTGCCACTGTGCAGAACACCACAGGGAAGCAGGCACCTCTTCATTCACTAACACTCGAATGCAGCTGCCATTCCTCGGCTCCCCAGCACAGTGGACTTCAAACATCAGGGAGCCAGAGAATCAATTCAGGGCCCAATACAAGTTCCACAGACGTAGAGCACACATTCAGAGAGTTGGAAGCTGAGAGTTGGACCCCTAAAATCTCCCAGAAATAAAGCCAGTTGGCTGAATCTACCCTATACTACAATTAAACTCTCAAGGTTATCAAATAGGATAAAGGAAAGAAAAACCTATCCAAAGGTCAGCAACCTCAAAGATTGAAGGTAGATAAGCCCACAAAAATAAGAAAAATTCATCACAAGAATGCTGAAAACTCAAAAGGCCAGAGTGCCTTTTTTCTTCCATATGATTGTGTTACAACTACAGCAAGTGTTCGGAACGAAGCTGAGGCTGAAATAGCTAAAATGAGATAAACAGAATTCGGAATATGGATAGCAATAAAGCTCATTGAGCTCCAGGAATATGTTGTAACCCAATACAAGGAAGCTAAAAATCATGATAAAAAAATGTCACGAGCTGACAAACAGTACAGAGAAGGATGTAACTGACCGGATATAGGTGAAAAACACACTGCGAGGATTTAATAATGCAATCACAAGTATTAAAAGCAAAATAGACCAAGTGGAGGAAAGAATCTCAGAGCTTGAAGACTGGCTTTCTGAAATTTGGCAGGAAAGAATGAATAGAAATGAACTGAACCTCTGAGAATGTGTGATTATGTAAATAGATGAAATCTATGGCTGATTGGTGTCCCTGAAAGAGATGGGAAAAATGGAACCAATCTGAAAAACATATTTCAGGATATCATTTATGAGAACTTCCTCAACTTAGGCCAACATTTAATTTCAGGAAATACAGAGAACCCCAGTAAGATAACTCACAAGAATATCATCTGCAAGCCACATAATTATCAGATTCTCCCACATAAAACTGAAAGAAAAATACTGTTAAAGGTAGCTAGAGAGAAAGGTCAGATCACCTACAAACAGAAGCCCATTAGACTAACAGTGGAACTTTCAGATGAAACCCTACAGGCCAGAAGAGATTGAGGGTCAATATTCAACATTCTTAAAGAAAAAAAAATTCCAACCCAGAATTTCATATCCAGCCAAACTAAGCTTCATAAGTGAAGGGGAAATAAGGTTATTTTCCAACAAACAAATGCTGAGGGAATTTGTAATCACCAGACCTGCCTTACAAGAACTCCTTTAAGAAGCACTAAATATGGAAGGGAACGATTGTTATCAGCAACTATAAAAAGTCGCTGAAGTACACAGACCAGTGGCACTATAAAGCAACCACATAAACAGGTCTGCAAAATAGCCAGGCAGTATCATGATGACAGAATTAAATCCACACATATCAATACTAACCATAAATGTAAATGGGTTAAATATCAATTTAAGATACATAGAGTGGCAATCTGGATAAAGAACCCAAACCCAGTGGTATGCTGTCTGCAAGAGACCATTCTCATGTAATGACACACATAGGCTTGAAATAAAGAAATGGAGAAAAATCTACCAAGAAAATGGAAAACAGAAAAAAGCAGGGTTTTCAATCCAATTTTCTGACCAAAACAGACTATAAACCAACAAAGATTTTTAAAAAAGACAAAAAATCATATACTGATAAAGGGTCTAACTCAATAAAAAATTGAACTATCCTACAGATATATGCACCCAAGGAAAGAGCATCCAGATTTATAAAGAAGTTCTTAGAGACCTTCGCAGAGAAAGACACTCTCACAAAATAGTAGTGAAAGACATTAATACCGCACTGACAATATTAGACAAATCATCAAGAGAGAAAATTAACTAAGGTATTCAGTACCTGAATTCAGCACTATATCAAATGAACCTGATAAACATCTACAGAATTCTCCACTCAAAAGAACAGAATATACATTTTTCTCACTGCCACATGGCATATACTCTAAAATCAATCACATAATTGGAAGTAAAACACTTCTTAGCAAATGCAAAAGAAAATAATAACAACCAGTCTCTAAGACCACAGTGCAATCAGATTAGAATTTAGGATTAAGAAACTCACTCAAAACCATACAACTACATGGAAACTGAACAACCTGCTCATGAATGACTACTGGGTAAATAAAGAAATTAAGGGAGAAATAAATAAGTTCTTTGAAACCAATGAGAACAAAGACACGAGATACCAGAATCTCTGGGACACAGCTAAAGCAGTGTTTAGAGGGAAATTTATAGCACTAAATACCCACAAGAGAAAGCAGGAAAGATCTCAAATCGACACCCTAACATCACAATTAAAATAACTAGAGAAGAAAGAGCAAACTAATTTGAAAGCTAGCAGAAGACAAGAAATAACTAAGATCAGAGCAGAACTGAAGGAGATACAGACATGAAAAACCCTTCAAAAAATCAATGAATCCAGGAGCTGGTTTTTTGAAAAGATCAACAAAGTAGATAGATCGCTAGCCAGATTAATAAAGAAGGAAAGAGAGAAGAATCAAATAGACTCAATAAAAAATGATAAAGGGGATAT
The DNA here is from genome assembly GCF_000001405.40 of Homo sapiens. Classification (NCBI taxonomy): domain Eukaryota; kingdom Metazoa; phylum Chordata; class Mammalia; order Primates; family Hominidae; genus Homo; species Homo sapiens. The sequence goes on along the minus strand of NC_000004.12, from coordinate 115,352,479 downwards.
CACTACTGATCCCACAGAAATACAAACTATCATCAGAGAATATTATAAAAACCTCTACACAAATAAACTAGAAAATCTAGAAGAAATGGATAAATTCCTGGACACATACACCCTCCCAAGTATAAACAAGGAAGAAGTCAAATCCCTGAATAGACCAATAACAACTTCTGAAATTGAGGCAGTAATTAATAGCCTACCAACCAAAACAAGTCCAGGACCAGACAGATTCACAGCCTAGTTCTACCAGAGGAACAAAGAGGAGCTAATACCATCCCTTCTGAAGCTACTCCAAACAATAGAAAAAGAGAGAATCCTCCCTAACTCATTTTAGGAGGCCAGCATCATCCTTTTACCAAAACCTAGCAGAGACACAACAACAAAAAAGAAAATTTCAGGCCAATATCCCTGATGAACATCAATGCTAAAATCCTCAATAAAATACAGGCAAACAGAATCCAGCAGCATATCAGAAAGCTTATCCATCATGAAAAACTCGGCTTCATCCCTGGGATGCAAGGCTGGTTCAACATAAAACAAATCAATAAACATAATCCAGCACATAAACAGAAACAATGACAAAAAAACACATGATTATCTCAATAGATGCATAAAAGGCATCGATAAAATTCAACACCCCTTAGTGCTAAAAGCACTCAGTAAACTAGGTATTGATAGAACATACCTCAAAATAGTGAGAGCTATTTATGACAAACCCACAACCAATGTCATACTGAATGGGCAAAATCTGGAAGCATTCCCTTTGAAACAAGACAAGGATGCCCTCTCTCACCATTCCTATTCAACATAGTATTGGAAGTTCTGGCCAGGGCAATCAGGCAAGAGAAAGAAATAAAGGGTATTCAAATAGGAAGAGAGGAAGTCAAATTGTCTCTGTTTGCAGATGACATGATTGTATGTTTACAAAACCCCATTGTCTCAGCCTAAAAACTCCTTAAGTTGATAAGCAACTTCAGCAAAGTCTCAGAATACAAAATCAATGTGCAAAAATCAAACGCATTCCTATAAACCAAGAATAGACAGACAGTCAATTCATGAGTGATCTTCCATTCACAATTGCCACAAAGAGAATAAAATACCTATGAATATAACTTACAAGGGATGTGAAGGAACTCTTCAAGGAGAACAATAAACCACTGCTCAAGGAAATAAAAGAGGACACAAACAAATAAAGAAAAAATTCCATGCTCATGGACGGAAAGAATCAATATTGTGAAAATGTCCGTACTGCCCAAAGTAATTTATAGATTCAATGCTATCCCCATCAAGTTACCAGTGACTTTCTTCACAGAATTAGAAAAAAACTATTTTAAATTTCATATGGAACCAAAAAAGAGCCTGCATAGCCAAGACAATCCTAAGCAATAAGAACAAAGCTGGAGGCATCATGCTACCTGACTTCAAACTATACTACAACACGACAGTAACCAAAACAACATGACACTGTTACCAAAACAGACGTATAGACCAATGGAACAGAACAGATGCCTCATAAATAATACCACACATCTACAACCATCTGATCTTTGACAAACCTGACAAAAACAAGCAATGGGGAAAGGATTCCCTATTCAATAAATGGTATTGGGAAAACTGTCTAGACATATGCAGAAACTGAAACTGGACCCCTTCCTTAAACCTCGTACAAAAATTAACTCAAGATGGATTAAAGACTTAAAACATAAGAACTAAAACCATGAAAACCCTAGAAGAAAACCTAGGCAATACTATTCAGGACATAGGCATGAGCAAAGAGTTCATGACTAAAACACCAAAAGCAATGGCAACAAAACCAAAAATTGACAAATGGGATCTAATTAAACTAAAGAGCTTGTGCAAGCAAAAGAAACTATCATCAGAGTGAACAGGCATTTTACAGAATGGGAGAAAATTTTTCCAATCTGTCCATCTGACAAAGGGCTAATATCCAGAATCTACAAAGAACATAACAAATTAACAAGAAAAAAAACAAAAAAACCCCATCAAAAAGTGGGTGAAGTATATGAACAGACACTTCTCAAAAGAAGACATTTTTGCAGCCAACAAACTCATCATTGCTGATCATTAGATAAATGCAAGTCAAAACCACAATGAGATACCATCTCACGCCAGTTAGAATGGCGATCATTAAAAAGTCAGGAAACAACAGATGCTGGAGAGGATGTGGAGAAATAGGAACACTTTTACACTGTTGGTGGGAGTGTAAGTTAATTCAACCATTTTGGAAGACAATGTGGTGATTCCTCAAGGATCTAGGACCAGAAATACCATTTGACCCAGCAATCCCATTACTGGGTATATACCCTGAAAATTATAAATCCTTCTACTATAAAGACACATACACACCTATATTTACTGTGGCACTGTTCACAATAGCAAAGACTTGGAACCAACCCAAATGCCCATCAATGATAGACTTGATAAAGTAAATGTGGCACATATATACCATGGAAATACTATGCAGCCATAAAAAAAGGATGAGTTCATGTCCTTTGCAGGGATATGAATGAAGCTGAAAACCATCATTCTCAACAAACTAACACAGGACAGAAAATCAAACACCGCATGTTCTCACTCCTAAGTGGGAGTTGAACAGTGAGAACACATGGACACTGGGAGGGGAACATCACACACTGGAGCCTGTCAGGGGGTGGGGGGCTAGGGGAGGGATAGCATTAGGAGAAATACCTAATGTAGATCATGAGTTGATGGGTGCAGCAAACAACCATGGCACGTGTATGTAACAAACAAACTATGTAACAAACCTGCACATTCTGCACATGTATGCCAGAACTTAAAGTATAATTTAAAAAATTAAAAAACAAAAGGAAGGAAATTCTGACACATGCTACAACATGGATGAATCATGTGGACATTATGCTAATAAAATAAGCCAGTCACAAAAACTTGTTTCTTTGCAAGTTAGTTACATTTTATCAGGAAAAATTCTTCCATTGCATATTTCTGAGCCTTTAGCTGTATAATTTACATATGCTGCCTTTAAAATGAAAGAAGACTCCACAGAACGTTCTTGGGTTATTTGCTTTTATCTTGTAATCTTTAGAGTTATTGGGTCTTTGCCTTCTGGAGTTTAATTTTCGAGGTCTATATCTTACCTGTTTCTTGTTATTGCTTGTTTATTTTTAGACATACTGTCTCTATTGCATACCTGACAGCATAATTTCTTTGGTCTTCATTTCTAAACCCTTTTTCATCTGCATGTTTATTAGGAAAAGTTTTCATAATTATAGCTTTAAATGTATATAAATCTCTTTATTATTTTTTGCCCAGAAAATTTTGAACTGTTTTGGTCTAAATAAAGTATTTCTATTTTGGTAAAGGACATCTTCCATCATATTATTAATTTTTATTTATTATTTGTATTTTATTTGATATTTAAGATGTCATTCTTAAATTAATAGAATGAAATTATTTCCTGTTTTCCATTACCTGTCATTTTCATTTTAGTTGTTCATTTGCTCTTACATTCTACATTTGGAAATATATCCCGACTCCATCCCTTATACATTTGATGAAAATTTCTGCAGTGTTAATCTGTTTTATCCCACTTCTATGTGGATATTATTTTGTTTTATTTTTTGTTTCCTGCAACAATTTATTTTCCCAGATACTTTTATTTTTGCTTCCCTCCTTGGTTGGATATATCCTATTATTCACTCATTTTGTCCTTGCCTTGTTTCGTAGAGGCCATACCTTTTTTGTCCTACGTGGGAAAATAAAATAGATTGTATATGTAAAATATAAACATATATATATATATATTTTTATTTTTGAATGTGTGTTTTCCATTTCAGTCTTCATTGTAATACTTCCTTTCAAACACCAAAATGGGACTAATTTATAAGTCCCATTTTGATAAATTTTTATTTACTAATTTTTAATTGTAGAGAAATAACTCTGCTTGTTTCTCATTAGGCATTGATGTAATGCTTATTTGTATCCATTGCTTCATTTTAGATATTGCCAAAATCCTCCACTCTGTTCTTTAGATTCTGTTGTTTCTTGTAAAAATCATTAATGCAGTTCACTAGAATAAGAGGGTTTTCACCTGCCTACATTGTTTTTCAACTTTAAGCAGAAGAGTGTATTTTCCATACTATCTGAAAAATCTGAGTTTCTTTTTGGTAAATATGCAGAAAAATGCAAAGGACTATTCTTTAGCCAGGACTTCCTTAATGCTCCTATCCCAACCACACTCTGTGCTCTTTGATGGCACCTCCCAAGATAAGAGTTCTCCACATAACCTGCATAAGATATTTGTCAAATTCTCTTCAATGATAACATGGGTTAGCCTTAGAACTGTAGTACCTGGATGTATGAGAAAGTCATGAAAAAATTTTGTAAGACAAATAAAAGAAAGAGGTGAGAAAGAAGCTTATAAAATGATGCCGCATTGGCTACTCAAAAGATGCTTCTTTAGAGTAGGGGCAGTCACATTTTTAACTATTTTCTCAAAATTTTCATCTTAATGGAGGGCAAAAATGTAGTTAAGACCAAAATCTTATTATTTCTACTTCAGATGCAATAGTAAGGATGTTAAACAGAAAAAGTATACATATATCTACAAGCTTTGTTTACCAATTCAAATCCTTCATCACTTTCTTGGGTAAAATTCATCGCTTAATTGGTTTATTGCAAATTCTTATTATTTCCCTATGGTATTATTGATAACACTTTTGTTGTGCTCAAGGTACTGTGATTAAGAAATGAGAGTAATTAAATCAGGAACTACTTAACTTCTGACATGTTAATTTAGAACTTAACACACATCATACAAAGGAACATGGGAGATAAGTTAGGACCTTTCACAAAAGTGTGTCATTACACAATTTCAGGCGCATGATTACTTAAATTATCCCTTTTAAATATACATAAGAACAAGATTTTACTCGTACCCATAAAGACTCATTTTATTTAATAGCCCATTATCTTAGTTATGTTTATTGCTCTAGAGGATGTCATCATTGTAGTGGAGTCAAGACTGATAAGCAAAAATTAATTTAAAACCCATCATGTACTGACAACTCATATCAATATATACAAATTTTGAGGGGTCAAAAAATTTAAGTTTGAATATTATACTGACAGAGTATCAAAATATAGTAATAGTTCAACAAATATCTCAACAGAAAATTGAGTTTTACTAACAGAGATTAAAATGTGAGAAAAGCTATAAGATGTCAATCAGTGCGTGGATAACCGAAGGAGGGAAAATCTGACATGAAACAGAAAGTAAGAATGAAAATCTGTGTGAACCCAAATAAATGTTCACTACTACAATCAAAATCTGTGTCCTTACAGAATGCCATTTGAGAACTGTAACTGTTATTGTTAGCATTTTAAATTAATGAATATTATATGAATGAAACTGTGTAAAGTAACTGAAGCATATCGTCTTGGAACCAGTGATCACTCAAAACTGCTTACACTTTAGGCCATGCATAAAGAATAAAAACACAAACAGCATATTTTATTTCTATATGATTATAGTCTTGGTGTTTTAATCTTGTGTATGAGATTAAATAGATATGGTTAGCTAACTTCTGGTAATTTCAATGCATTCTTTCTGAAAGCTATCTTTTAGATAAAAAAGTGTGGAAATAAAATTAGTATATATGCATTTCATAAAAGTATTTAATAAAATATTGACATATTTGCAGCCAGTCTGATATTCTCTAGTGAACTACTGATAGCTGGAGAGCGTCATCAACCTAATTTTCATTCAGCTATTTCAAATGGCATATATTCTTCACAAAACTGCACAGACACATTTATCAACTTCTGCAGGCTGTGAATTATAGATTCTGTTTAAGAATGTGTTAGGTGGCCGGGCGCGGTAGCTCACGCCTGTAATCCCAGCACCTTGGGAGGCTGAGGCGGACGGATCAAGAGGTCAGGAGATCGAGACCATCCTGGCTAACATGGTGAAACCCCGTCTCTACTAAAAATACAAAACATTATCTGGGTGCGCTGGTGGGCGCCTGTAGTCCCACCTACTCGGAAGGCTGAGGCAGGAGAATGTTGTGAACCCGGGGAGGTGGAGGTTGCAGTGAGCCGAGATAGCGCCACTGCACTCCAGCCTGGGCAACGGAGAGAGACTCCGTCTCAAAAAAAAAAAAAAAAGAATGTGTTAGGCATGCAAACTGAAAGAAAAAATGAGCTGAGAGCTTAAAAATACTAATTTCATGATATGTGTAATATTTGTTAAGCATTGTAACTCACAGCTAATTTATTCAGTATCTAAAAGTTTATAATGATGAGGAATCGCTTCATGATATATAAAATTCTAATAAATCTAATTTTATTTTATACACATTTATATATTTAGGAGGTTGATAACCTTTCTCTATTCCTTTTGTTGCCTGGCTAAATCATACTGGAATATTGCTATATTAATTTTCCACTTTTTTCCTCACCAATCATCTGTCAATGTGGCAGAAATTGTTTTTTACTCTAATTGATTTTTCGTGCCTTCCGTACAAAAGAAAAAAAGAACAAATTGCATCTAGGCACACTATTGTCCAGCCAAACTATATCTTCCAGTCTTCCATATAATTAGAAATGGTGGACATTTTTTTTTAATTTGAATGCCAGCCAAAAGTGGTATCTGTCATTTTCATTGTTGGGTGGTAGGAAATTGGTGTGTCCATTTCATACTTTCTTTCTCTTTTCTTCCAGAGGAAGCAGACATGGCAGTGACCCAGCTTCAACCATGCTTATAGCAACAGTGCCCTAATACAGTAGTTGGAAAACTGCAGGCTACAGGCTAAATCCTTCCCTCTGCCTGTTGTTAAAAATTTTATTGGAATGCAGCCATGCTCACTCATGACATGGAGTCTGAGGCTACTTTCCCATCACTGTGGCTATTATGAAGAGCTACAACAAAGACAGTACTTCTGGGATGTACACTAAAAGTATGTACACTCTGTTCATTTACAGGCATACGTTTCCAGACCCCTGCCCTGGGAAATGGAGGAACAACAGGATGGAAGCAGCCTGGGTCCCTGAATGAACGCACTGAGCAAAGCCACGGCCAGGAGTGACAGATAAAAAAGAAACTCATTTTTTAAGCCACTTTATCATTGGTTCTAATTACCAACATCTTGGTGTTTTCCCAAACTAAGCCAGTCAGAAAAAAAGTATGTAAATGAGCATTGGTAAAGAAATAATATAAGTAATCAAAATATCTAACCAGCAGTCTCCTAACTCTGCAATAAGGCTTTACTTCGTTCTGGGGAGATTTCTCTTTCAGAATAGACATCATAGATAAACATATTATTTTACAAATAATACTAATAGTACATTGTTGGATTTTTGCAATAGACACTTAGTGTCTCCTTAAATGTACAACTCACATGCAGGCAATACAGCTAGCTGATTTTCATAAAAGATCCATTTGCCTAATGAATCCTTATCTGAAGTGCTGTGTGACTATTAATAAACCTTTTAATGTAATATCCAAAGAATTTTATATGTGCAATTTTAACATTATTGGTCTTAATATAAATAACGTATTTTCTTTTTTTTTTTTTGAGATGGAGTCTCGCTCTGTTGCCCAGGCTGGAGTGCAGTGGCATGATCTCAGCTCACTGCAAGCTCCGCCTCCCGAGTTCACGTCATTCTCCTGCCTCAGCCTCCCGAGTAGCTGGGACTACAGTTGCCCACCACCACACCTGGCTAATTTTTTGTATTTTTAGTAGAGACGGGGTTTCACCGTGTTAGCCAGGATGGTCTGGATCTCCTGACCTCGTGATCCACCCGCCTCAGCCTCTCAAAGTGTTGGGATTACAGGCGTGAGCCACGGCGCCCTGCAATAACATATTTTCATTTGTTCAGGGAATATTCAATTTATCTGACGTATAATTCAAGTCACTATTGCCAAATTTATTCTATTAAATGCTCTCATATCCAAGAGAACCAGTTATTTAGAGAAAAGTCACAATATTGTTTCTATTTTTAAGAATGATTTAACAGAAGTAGAATGCGGGTAAAATTAGTACTAATGAAAATTAGACCAATAGAGCTAGGATAAGGAAACCCTACTAGCACCCAACATTGTTCTATTTGCTTTGCGAAACTAAAATCAAGGAATATTGAATCTACCCAGCTTCTCTTTCCATATTTCCATGTTATAGACCTTAGCAAGTGGATTGCTTTGTGAGGTTAACTAAGTATTCCTCCCAATTTCTAACCTCTCTACCCGTTTATATCATTTGCTATAACTGGGTGATTTTATAATTCCCCATAAAACATAATAACAGGGAAATGTGGTTTTGAATTCTGGAAGTCATAATCTCTAAAAGTAAATTTAGTCCATATTATGTTAATAAGATTCCTTAAATACCAGGCGTTGTGTGCTGGTAATTGTGCTTTTTTATACACCAAATTCTGATACCAAAAAACTGAGAAGGAGGAAATGGAAAAACACATTACACAGCAGAGGAATGTACAAAAAGTTAAACATCTAATGACACCAGAATAATTCAATTCACTTTACTTGGCTTCTGAAACTAATATTAGAACATCACAAGTAACCTTTAGTGGATTAAATAACATAGAAATGGTTAAGTCCATTTCCTCAATATCCAAAATCTCAATAGCACTGTTAATACCATCTGGCAGCAATAGAATAAAAACATTATGACAAATAAAATGTGTAATATAAAAGACCTGAGAAGGAATTACAGACTGTATCGACAAATGCCAAAACCATACAAATAAGAAGAAAAAAAATGATTAAAATTAAAAGGAAACAATACAGTGTCATGATATGGGCAACATGTATTCATGACTCAAATAAAATATACCATATGCAATGATTAAAATATAACAAAAGTCGACTTATGTACTAGTCATGTTTGATGCTTATTTGTAAGCAATGTAACCTCTTATTTAATTAAGCAATAAATAACTTATTGATCTTAATTTGGACAGTTCACTGAATCTCTAGGATGAGGAGAAACAGGCTCAGAAAGTTGGCTGGAGAAAAAGAAAGCTAGTCAGCCAGAGATATTGCCCATATCACCCACCAAACTAGTTGAGTGAAGATACCAGCTGCTAGACCTCAACACCAGGTGCCTTGCACCATGGATACTGAATTGGACATTGAATTCTACTGTTTCCCATGAAAACTAGATTTCACTGCTTTCACTAATGACAACTTTTAGCTCTAAGTGCATTTTACATGGTTTTTGCTTTTTTTGAGTCATAAATCCTGAAGACAAGTCACAGGCAAGGGCCTCTGAGGCTAAGTAATTTATGGGTGTCCTAGTTAAAAGGGGTGACTAGGGAAGTGAATATCTAGTCTTTGTGGTTTCTACAATTGGAGGTAAACTCTATTCATTTACATGGTAAGAATTCTCCCATCTCTCCAAAAATGGCTTATATGTTAGGAAGCCAAAAAGAAAAAAAATGTCCTGAGTAATCCCAACTTTGGCTTCACAATATCAATACAGACCTTTCTTCATATAGTTTCACTACCCTTGACTATGCTTCCAGTAACAATTCAATTATCCTCCATCAATACGAAGTACACCTCAAGGCCCATTAATTCCACATCCATCTCCAAGCCCCAGATCTCTGGGTAATGGCCATTCTTTCTCTCATTTCCTATATTCAAAAAGAAAGCAAAGGAAAGAAAAAAAATCTGAACAAAGATAAAGAACATACATAAAGATATATACACATACACACACATATATATAAAATATATATATTTATATATAAAATATAAATATATTAAACATATAGTATGTATTATAAAATATAGACAGATATAGAATATATTTATAATTACACCTATCTATACATGTGTTACATCTATCTCTATGATACAGGTGTGACTATATATAATACAACAGTGAAGAGATGCTAGTATGAGATACAGTTGCCACTTCTGTAAGTGGTAATTGGGCATGACTGACATGTTTTCTCTTCTCTGTTATCCATTACCTTTTTGTTTCTATGGGCTCCCAGCTGTGGGGGACTTGCCCTTAGAGGTATGCCTGTGGCGTTAAACTATACAGAGAGTACCCAAATGGCCCAACATATGTAGTTAAAATTTCCTTAACACTAGCACAGTGTGTTTGTTAATAAAAGAAACACTCTAGGTTCTCATCCTCACTCTTTCCTTCCCACTTTGTGTAGTAGTAACCCTCTTTTTTTTTGTCCTCCAGTAAACATAAAAACTCATGTTGCTCTTGCAAATGAATTATTAATTATAGTAATCAAATGATCTATCCCACTTTAACATCTTAGAGACAAGATATGTGTATTTTGCCTTTGGAAAAAATGCTTCATGTATGGGTCACTAATCTGAGCATAGTTTGAATCCTTAGTCAACTCCTATTTTCTTAAGGACGGTACTTTTGGGTGAGAGGATATATGTATAATAACATCAGAAAATCTCTTGAAAAATAACTTTATTTACTCTGAAATAAGTTCTTGAATGTGAAGCAGTGTGGGTGGAATATTATTTCATAATTAAAGGCATTTAATAAGTCCAAAGAGCCCTTCAATAATTCTTCAGAAAAAAGTAAGCATGACAAGCAAAAACAAATTCAGATGAAATATGTATTTTCATGAGAAATATCACTGGCCACTCCAGAACAGAAAAGATTTCATTGTAATCAACTGCTGTAGAGAACATGCTGTTCCCCTGAATTATAGTGCTGTATTGATATCATGACTAATTTCTACTAAAGAAAAAGTGGTCACATCATATGAAGAGAATAACATGTTTTTGAGGTACTGTATGACTTCTATCCTGACATTAAATTTGCAAAGTATGCAGACTCTGCTCAGAGTTCTCCCTTCTGCTTAATCTAAAACATCACCTACTTCCTTTAGTCAGTATCCTCTTACTCTGATGTAGCACATACCGTTGTCTGGAATAATATTGTCTATTCTTTGTATTATCTATTTAATTAGCTAAATTGTAAGCCCAATATTTTGCCTGATTTGTTTTCTGTATCTCCTGTGCTTAAAATGGTGCATGATACATTAAAACCCTTAAATAATACTAACATTGGGTATGTGAATGAACAAACATGGCAGAAAACAGGAAAGGTGGCTGAATTAATAATCTGTCAATTTGTCTGGCTAATTTCTAAGAATCTATTCAATAATTAGACATTTTAATGGTGATTTGTAGAGCACCTATACTTTTGTGTTACACAAGTGACTGTTTCCCAAACAATCATGACGCCAGTTACTAAATGTTGCTTTTTCGAAGTCTGTGATCATCTAACCAACGAAAAGGTAGTAGCTGATAATTAAATGCAGATAATTTTCTTAGGCCAGGTCTTCTCAGCAAGGGGAAATAAGGGGACACTCCTTGGAATGGTTTTCCCCATTCCATATGATACTAGCTGTGAGTCGGTTGTATATGGCTGGTATTGTGTTTTATTATGAATGGATTTTTGATATTATAAAATACTTTACCTTCATCTATTAATACAATCATGTGGTTTTTCTTCTTTTAGCCAGTTGATGTAATGAATTTCATTAATTGATTTTTGAATGTTGAACCCACCTTGCATACCTGTAATAAATTCCTTTTGATTATGTTGAATAATTATTTTTATACATGTTGGGATTTGGTTTGTTATTTTGTTGAAAATTTTGTATATACTTTCATGACAGATATTGGTCTGTAGTTTTCTTTTCTTACAACCATTTTGTGTGGTTTCAGTGTTAAGATAATGCTGTCCTATTAAATTGTGTTGGGAAGTATTCCTTTTGCTTCTGTCTTATGGAAGCGATTATGAAGAATCGGTATAATATCTTCCTTAAATTTAGAATTCACTAGAGAACCATCTGAGCTGGAACTCCTTTTTACTGATGAACAGACATACTCAAGTAAATTGGAAGTTCTGGCAAAAAGACCATACATATTAAATTTATTCCCAAGCCCATATTTTCTTATATATTGTATTTATTCCACTATATTATACCAAGTAATATCTGAAACTTCAGTTTCATGACTATTTTGTCATTGTTGAATAAGGGTTTAAGTCAACCACTAAAGCAAATAAGCTCTAGGGCACTACTCTCCACTAACACTTATGTAATGAAATAAATGTTTTGTACCTGAAAACCCTGCAAAACAAACACAAAACAAAAGATTAACAGCTGTTGGGCAATTATAATAGTTTCAGAGGCTTGCAGCCTTTAGAAGATTATAATAGCATCTGAGGCTTGCAACATAGTATTAACTATGTCCCAGATAAAAATCAAAATTACTCAACATTAAACACACACACACACACACACACACACACACACACACACACACACACACACATAGAAAAATAAGACAAATGCTTGACAAGTTTGGCTCCAGGCCAGAATCCTATGTCTCTTTCAGGCCCAGATCCAGGCAATTACAAAATCTTTACCTAGATGGCCTTATGGGGGAAAACTGCTCTCCCATAAAAAACTTGGTGCACAATGGGTGGACTTCAGTCCCTGAAAGGAGTTGCAGTCTAACTCAGGTGCCTTCCATCAGGGGCCTCTCCCTCAGCAGTGAGATAATCCCCACTTTTATGCTGATAGACCTGACCCTTACTCAATACCATTCTGTGGGGAAAAATAAAAAACTGGACTCTGGGAGGCCGAGGTGGGTGAATCACGAGGTCAGGAGTTCGAGACCATCCTGACCAACATGGTGAAACCCTGTCCCTACTGAAAATAGGAGGCGTGTGCCTGTTATCCCAGCTACTCAGGAGGTTGAGGCAGGAGAATTGCTTGAACCCGAGAGGCAGAGATTGCAGAGTGCCGAGATCACGCCACTGCACTCCAGCCTGGGCGACAGAGCGAGAGTCCATCTCAAAAAAAAAAGAAAAAAAGAAAACTGGAGGTCCTAGTGCTTTTTCCTGTTCAGCCTCCTGCTTTTGCTATATCAGTGAGTGACTAAAAGCTTTACTGTTACTTTCATTTTGGCTTGTTGCTTTAACTGACCACCTAAATACCTGGGAGCTCAGTTCTCTCCAACTCAGCTCTTGACAATTCTCAAAGGAAAATGCAATAAACAAATGTCAAACCTGCACAAAGACTTCAAAGTGCCTATTGTAACCATTCAACATGAGATAAATGTAAATATTCTTGCAATGGATGGGAAGATAGGAGTTCCCAGCAGAGTTAACCACTAAAAAAATGAAAAACCATAATGAAAATTGTTAAACTAAAAAATATAATATCCATAACAATGCATTCACTGGCTAGGCTCAATAACAGAATGGAGATGGCAGAGAAAAGCATCAGTATACTTGAAAATAGATGAATATAAATTATCTAATCTCAAGAAAAGACAGAAAATGTTGGAAAAACAAAAAATAAAAACAGATTATCAGAAATAAACTGTAGGACAATATTAAAAAATTAATATTTTTATTATTTGATTTCCTGGAGGAAAGAAGAAGGAAATTGGTGCAGAAAAATATTTGAAGAAGTAATGGATCAAAATTTCTTAAATTTTAAAACATAAATAAAATATGTATTTAAGAAGCTCAGACAACCTCAAACAGAATAAACTCAAGTAAAACTACACCCAAACACACCATAAACAAACCACTAAAAAGTCAAAGATTAGAAATAATAAAAGCAGCAAGAAAACAAATGACACAGTACATATACAAGAACAATTATTAGAATAACTGCAGTTTTCTATCAGAAACAATGAAGTAATTCACTAGTTGGAAGACAAGAAACAGCAAACAAACATTCTTTACCTTTAGCTATGAAGTGGGTATTTTCTCAAATATGAGATCTTCGATAATTTCTCAACAGCTGAACTGTTCTGAAAAAAATACTTATCCGATAAGTTCTTTAGGCCAAAGGGGAATGATCAGAGAGAAGTTGGAACTACAGGAACAAACAGCAACAGAAATGGCAAATATCTGGGTAAATACAATATATTATCTTTTTCCTCTTATTTTTTAAAATTTATATTATCGTAAAAAGCAACAATTATAAAATTGTCTTGGAGAATTATCAGTATATGTAGATGTAATGCATATGGCAACTGTCATATTATGTGGAGAGGCTAAAGGGACTTATACAGTTTTAATGTTTATATATTTTATTTGCAGGGATAAATATACATTTTGGGTAGACAGTGGAGGTTTAAATATAATGATCACAAAAAATACAAAGGGTATGGTCTGAATCGAGTAGATCAATTAAAATGGGTACTAGAAATATTTAAATAATCTAAATATGATACGGAAGTGGAGCAGATAAACAAAAAATGAGGGGAAAAATGCTAATAAAATGGTATACCTACATCTAATTATTTCCACAATTAACATTAAATGGAAAAGAGTTCTACAGTTTCTTAGCTATAAAGTTATGAAACTTTATAAGTAAATATAAGTTATGCATATATTTACTATATGACTTAGAAATCCTACTCCTGGTTTCAGGTCTAACATTTAAGTCTTTAATCCATCTTGAATTAATTTTTGTATAAGGTGTAAGGAAGGGATCCAGTTTCAGCTTTCTACATATGGCTAGCCAGTTTTCCTAGCACCATTTATTAAATAGGGAATCGTTTCCCTATTGCTTGTTTTTCTCAGGTTTATCAAAGACCAGATGGTTGTAGATATGCGGCATTATTTCTGAGGGCTCTGTTCTGTTCCATTGATCTATATCTCTGTTTTGGTACCAGTACCATGCTGTTTTGGTTACTGTAGCCTTGTAGTATAGTTTGAAGTCAGGTAGCATGATGCCTCCAGCTTTGTTCTTTTGGCTTAGGATTGACTTGGTCATGTGGACTCTTTTTTGGTTCCATATGAACTTTAAAGTAGTTTTTTCCAATTCTGTGAAGAAAGTCATTGGTAGCTTGATGGGGATGGCACTGAATCTATAAATTACCTTGGGAAGTATGGCCATTTTCACAATATTGATTCTTCCTACCCATGAGCATGGAATGTTCTTCCATTTGTTTGTATCCTCTTTTATTTCATTGAGCAGTGGTTTGTAGTTCTCCTTGAAGAGGGCCTTCACGTCCCTCATAAGTTGGATTCCTAGGTATTTTATTCTCTTTGAAGCAATTGTGAATGGGAGTTCACCCATGATTTGGCTGTTTGTCTGTTATTGGTGTATAAGAATGCTTGTGATTTTTGCACATTGATTTTGTATCCTGAGACTTTGCTGAAGTTGCCTATCAGCTTAAGGAGATTTTGGGCTGAGACGATGGGGTTTTCTAGATATACAATCATGTCATCTGCAAACCCTAGAAGAAAACCTAGGCGATGCCATTCAGGACATATACATAGGCAAGGACTTCATGTCTAAAACACCAAAAGCAATGGCAACAAAAGCCAAAATGGACAAATGGAATCTAATTAAACTCAAGAGCTTCTGCACAGCAAAAGAAACTACCATCAGAGTGAACAGGCAACCTACAGAATGGGAGAAAATTTTTGCAATCTACTCATCTGACAGAGGGCTAATATCCAGAATCTACAATGAACTCAAACAAATTTACAAGAAAAAGCAAACAACCCCATCAAAAAGTGGGTGAAGGATATGAACAGACTCTTCTCAAAAGAAGACATTTACACAGTCAAAAAGACACATGATAAAATGCTCATCATCACTGGTCATCAGAGAAATGCAAATCAAAACCACAATGAGATACCACCTCACACCAGTTAGAATGGCAATCATTAAACAGTCAGGAAACAACAGGTGCTGGAGAGGATGTGGAGAAATAGGAACACTTTTACACTGTTGGTGGGACTGTAAACTAGTTCAACCATTGTGGAAGTCAGTGTGGCGATTCCTCAGGGATCTAGAACTAGAAATACCATTTGACCCAGCCATCCCATTACTGGGTATATACCCAAAGGATTATAAATCATGCTGCTATGAAGACACATGCACACATATGTTTATTGTGGCACTATTCACAATAGCAAAGACTGGAACCAACCCAAATGTCCAACAGTGATAGACTGGATAAAGAAAATGTGGCACATATACACAATGGAATACTATGCAGCCATAAAAAAGGATGAGTTCATGTCCTTTGTAGGGACATGGATGAAGCTGGAAACCATCATTCTCAGCAAACTATCGCAAGGACAAAAAACCAAACACCACGTGTTCTTACTCATAGGTAGGAATTGAACAATGAGAACACATGGACACAGGAAGGGGAACATCACACACCAGGGCCTGTTGTGGGGTGGGGTGAGGGGGGAGGGATAGCATTAGGAGATATACCTAATGTTAAATGATGAGTTAATGCGTGCAGCACACCAACATGGCACATGTATACATATGTAACTAACCTACACGTTATGCACATGTACCCTGAAACTTACAGTATAATAAAAAACAGAAATCCTACTCCTAAATGTTTAACTGAGAGAAATAAAAACTATGTTCATAAAACCTGTATGCAACTGTTCTTAGTAGTTTTATTCTTATTAAATAATTTCTAAAAAATGGAACAAATTCAAATATCTTCAACTGGTGATTTTTTTTCAATCTGATAATTCATAGAATAGGATCTTATAGGGAATAAAAAGAAAATAAATATTTGTAGATGCAAAAACATAATTGATTATGCTAAGTGAAAGAAGCCAGACTAAAAAGGCCCATTATTCCATGATTTCACTTATGTGGCATTCCAGAAAAGGCAAAATCATACAATTGATGGGTGGCTCCCATGGGCCAGAAGTTAGAGGATGGACTGATTACCAAAGGGGATTATGAGGGATTTGAGGGGTGAATGTTCAAACTGATCTATACGTTGATTGTGGGGTGGTTACATGATTGTATGCATTAGTTGTAGTTCAATGACCTATACACAAAA
Organism: Homo sapiens; assembly: GCF_000001405.40. Taxonomy (NCBI): domain Eukaryota; kingdom Metazoa; phylum Chordata; class Mammalia; order Primates; family Hominidae; genus Homo; species Homo sapiens. The sequence continues at coordinate 115,335,615 of NC_000004.12, read as the reverse complement.
AGTGAATTTTACTATATGTAAAAACACTAATTTTAGAACACAAATTAAAAAAAGTGCCTTGTAGAAATATTCAACAAATATGAGCTATAGCTGTCAGTATTTTTCCCATGATAATAATAATGTGCTAGTACATTTAAATATAGAATGACAGGTAAATTCAACCATTTCTATAAATTTACCTTCATCTACAATTATCTTCTTTGCTCTTTGTCTGTACTTCCAAACTCCACTCCCACATATATTATCTTAAAATTTGCTTATATAAAAGAGAAAAGTCTTGAAATACTTTTGTGAGGTCAACCTTCTACTTTTTCTGTTAACTTTAATTTGCCAACAGAATATAGAAGTCCTGATTCTAGTTGTATGTATAGAAGCAATGAGCAGTGGTGGAGAGAAAGGTTAGAAAGAGTGATTTCTGGAAGGAGAATTAGATTTCCCTCACACGTAGTTCACTTACATTAAGTAATTGTACAATCTGCACCTAATGCAAGAAATCATTCCTGAATAATAACCAGCGGTTCAGGTGGCAATCCCCTCTGGGGATTGGGAGATGAGTTACCAGGAGTCTCATTTCAATTCTTAGCTTCTCTATATATATTCTTAAATACCCTCAATTTTATTTTTAAATTTTGTGAAACTGAAAATCCTAGTAACATTGCAACTTGGCAAGCAACCAATTCAGATTTTGCATGTAGATTTTGGTTACCTTGACTTTACGGTTTCATGAATTAAGAAACTCTTTCATCAGAGTTACAGAAAGTTCCTGGGGTTCAATCTGCACCTTGAGAGTAAATTGTAGATGTTTTGGTTTGTCCATGTCTTTTTTTCTGGTTCTCTGTAATTATTCGAGATATCCAATCTGCTTCCAATTCTTATTTCCTCATCTTCTTCAAACAGTTATGCCTTTTTTTTATTTTTTAAATGAAGGATTTTTTATTAGTTTTAATCAATGGCCACTTGATTTTCAGTCTTGAATTGTGCCCTTCAATTCTAGGTGACCATGAGTTACTGTTTAATTAGTTGTTTTACTACTGTGTGCCACATGCTTCCAAATTCCATTCTTTAATACTTTCTGAATTTTTATTGTTCTCAGACCTAACTGAACCAGATAATCAATAACATATTGTTGCTTTTTAAAAATCTTCTGTCTACAATCAGCAAACATTCTGGTATCTAAATCTCTACTAGTCAGCTTTGGTTTAAAAAAATGTAAGTTTGAAGAAAGAAAAATAAGCATTCAGTGAATTTAGGGTAAATAAGGAGAAGTATTTATCCTATTTCCCAGAAATCAGAAAGAATTTGGTAAATAGATGCTAAACCTTTTGTACCTAAGATGTACAAAATATAAGCAAAGGTACTGGATAAATGAACAAAGAAGACATTTACATGTGAATATGGCCAAAACTGTAATATTGATCAACATCAAACGAGTATTTCAGTCCTCATTTTGTGACTTTTCTATAATTAACTTTCTCATTAAAAAAAGACAAAACTATACAGTTTTGAAACTTCTTACTGAATAATGCTTTCTAAGCACTCTTTCACCTGTTTTTATTCTATATCCTCTTTTATTTAAGGAGCTTCTATGGTTTTCTTATTTAGAAAAAAAAAATTGCTAAAAGAGTGAATATTTGTGGGTGAGCAAGGGGTGGGAAGAGTCCTAAGGGGGACTTTCAAATTTTCATTGTTGCTTTAATACCTGGTTATGAAATAGATGAATAATATTTCACTAGTTTATTTCCCATAAGCTAATTATTACAACATAACTTCAATTATAATAAAAGCAAACATAGAAACCCAAAGGATACAAACAATCTAGTGTAAAGTCACTTTTGTCTACAGGGTTTAGGATACTTTGTAAGATGACTATTCCTCGGAGCTGGTAGTTACAAGTGGTATGGTAGCTAAGAGTATAGATCCTAGAAGATTATTGTTTGAATTCAAATATTAGTTCTGCCACAAACTAGTTGGATGACTGCCAGCCATTACTTAACCTCACTGTGCCTCAGTTTCTTCATCCATGAAATGAAGGTGGGAATAATCACAATTTCATCAATTTATCTGAGGACATAAATGACTTACAGACAAAGAATATAGAACAGTGCCTGGAACTGAGTGAGGGGCAAAATTTTATTATGAAATAGAACTGAAATGTGTTTTGGCATGTGGAGAATGGAGGAAGGGCTAAAAAGTAGGTCAGTGTGAAAAACAAGAATCGTTGCTGTTTTTTTCTGGGGTAAGGTGCAAAAAGCTAATAATAAAGAGCCCAGAGCAAACAAAATGCAGAGAAGATATTGAAAATCACAAGGAATGCATTGGGTGTGCAATGGAAATGCACTGAAGGTTCTTAAGTCTGGGAATTGCGTGGCATTTGTTGTGATTTCATAAGGCCTTTAACAGCATCTTTTAAATGTATGGTAATTACAAAATAAATGATTTTCCAGTCCCATTTAAGCATAATATGAATGACTTCTTACTTGTAAATATACAAAAATATCTAAAATATAGGATACCTTACAACTCAAACTGGAATCACAAAGAGGAGCAAATTAGAAACTTTATTAATATTAAAATCTCTAAAGAAGTAAGGAATTCAATTTTCAGACAATACAAAATGCGAAGATGCCCAATATAAAAATATACATATTACACCAAAATGTTTACAATATCTAAAATCCAAAATTTACAGGATGAAATCATTTCAAGAGACATGGAAGATGTAGTCTCTGAGATAGATACTACTAGCCTTTGGGAGATCCCAAATGTAGAGGTAAGAGGGTATCACAAGTTATTTGAAACATGTATAGAAAAACATATTAGAAAATAATACAATCTTTTAACAATAGGTCTTTTAAGAGTTACTGATTAAACCTAAAACAGTTTATTTCTTGAGTGTCATTTAAAAATTAATAATTGAATGTTTTTCCATATCCTGAAGGAGAACTAAGTCTACATTAACCATAGTCAATAGGAACATCTATTATTTATTAGGTATATTGGATGTTCCTATTACTTGGAAGCCTTTGGGCACATTTCTAATGGGAAGAAGGATACTATAGAGTTTCAAACAGTCCTCATTTGCAGATGTAAGTATAGAAATGGAAAGGCTAGGTTGCCCTGCAAATACAACATTTTTATTTATATATTCATCTAATACCATTTAAAATGGAACTTGCAAAATAGATTTATTTCTGTGTTATTCTCTTCATATAGCCACATTTTACAATAATACGAGCTCAGAAAATTCAATGACCAATTACATCCTGAATGTCACTCACCTGGGGAAGCTGAAAGTTATAGACCTGCAGGGTAAATGTCAAGTGAATGTGTTTGGACTGTGGCCATATCTGATTAGTAAAGCTGTTTTCAGCATATTCAATTGCCAGGCATATGTAATTTGCTCTGTGTTCCTGAAACATAATGGAAGAAAATAGGGTACCCTGCAATCCCTAGACAATTAAGGCAGCAGGGATGGGGATTAAATTCTAATTAATAAACATTTATTGAATATCTAAAATTATAAAATAAATGGGATAAATGATGTTGAAACTTTTTATGGGATATTGTTTACAGCTCCTTCAGCTATTTAAATATTTGATTTTTTTATATATATAGATTACATTTGTGATCAGATACTTGACATACATATTATCATATTTAGATTACAAATTGTTTATTCATGTAATGTCTTAACTGTTAACTAGATTTTTTAAATGGTTGCCAGTGAGGTTATCTGTTACTAGGATATTCTATATTTCCTTTGGTCTTGTGCAATGTAATGTACGGAGTAGGTGCTGAAAGAATTCTTTATTAAACTAATGGATAGGTGGTGTACTTCTTGTTTCTGAGTATGAAACTGAGCTGGCACAATCAACAAAAACTAGAAACTAATGAAAAATGGCACAATAAAAAATTAGAAACTTTGCTGAGCTCAGAAAAAGAGAGTAGTATTTGGATATATTGGAAGGATCTATTTTAATAGGTTTTTCAAAAGAACCAAAGTGAGACCTATAAATAAGATTGTTGTTGTTCAAAAGGGTTGTTGCTAAGTTGGCCAAGGAAGCATGATAGGCTAGAACTAAGCAGCAAAACATTGACTCTGTCACAATACTGAAAATGGTAAATGCTAACTCTAGGAGCCAAGATCTACTTATTTATACGATGTATTGCAGACTCATCTTTAAGACAGTTTCTTTCAGGGTATCTTAGAAGTGTAAGTGATTACTGTAACCCTGTTGAACATACCGCAGGGAGGGCAATTCTAGTTTCTTATCTAAAATTAGGCTAAAATGTGAACTCTGAGCAGTAATCTAACCCTGATATTAAACTCTCTATTTAATGCCACACAGTTTTATAGCTCTTCAAAAAGCTAGTTAATTTGTATTCTGATACTTATCGCATGGGGAAAAAATAGAATAATGTATAAAATGTATTTATCATCATGATCATAATCTGTTTTAATACTGAATTGTCACTATTTTTACAGAATGTAAATCATCCGGAAATGGTATTTGTTAGGTTTTTTACAAAACTTTTTAAATTTTTTTTTCCTTAAAAGGAGGAGAAGAAGAAATGCAATCCTAGTGACAATTATAGAACTTTACTTTTCACTGTCCACTGGCAGACAGGCTCCTGCCCTCAAGTCATGGTTAGGTCAATGAATAAATGTACATATTTCAATGGAAAGTGCATCCTAAAATACAAAATCATGCTTTATCTCTACAATAATTTCTGCAATTTTATTCTATTTCAGAAAAAGTAAACTTAGTTTGAGTAGTCTTTTATTTACCCCAAATGTAATATATTTATGAAATAAAATATATCCAAAAATTTCCAGTCTTTTCTAGACAGTCTATCCTTTAAATATTTTCAGGTAATAAAGACCATACCAATGACTATGTCAGCAGTATTTTTTTTGTGATTACAGAGCCATTTTCCCAACAGTAAAACAGGGTGGCTAATCCTAGTGCTTAATATGAGGCATTTGCTTAAAATATCTACCTAATAAATAACAGTTCACAAAATGTATACAAAAAAAGAAAATAGTAACATTTACAGAAGATATACTAAGCTAAATATAATGAATCTGACCAGGAAATGAGTCAGGAAAAATTTAATTTAACCCTAGCAAACCTGTTTATGACTTTTTTCAGGACTCAAACTGAACTGTTTTCTAGTTTACATGCTAGAAAGTAGTTCTTTTTTTCAAGTGTGAGCATCTTGGCAAATCGATTTACAAATGCAGGGACATGGATGGAGCTGGAAGCCGTCATCCTCAGCAAACTAACACAGGAACAGAAAACCAACTACTGCGTGTTCTCACTTATAAGTGGGAGCTAAATGATGAGAACACATGCACACATAGAGGGGAATGGCAGACACTTGGGCCTATCAGAGAGTGGAAGGTGGGAGGAGGATGAGGATCAGGAAAAATAACTAATGGGTACTAGGCTTAATACATGGGTAAGCAAATAATCTGTATGAGAAACCCCATGACACAAGTTTACCTATGTAACAAACCTTGACTTCTACCCCTGAACTTAAATAAAAGTTAAAAAAAAGAACTATACTGCTCTGCCTCAAAAAAACATAGACACAGGAAAATGAATTTTAAAATTTATCAAGAGGACTAAGACAAAACAGATAAAGAATAAGAACATTTTTCTCATAATTTTAAAATTAAAAAAGGTTTTAAAATGTATAAAGGAATCTTAAACACTATCCTGCCTTTTCTTTTATCATTAGGCCTAGTATTATCATAAGTAAGTCATTTATAAAAGTTGAGATTGGTCTAATTTTAATTTTTTAATTTAAATTTTATTTTTTTCAAACTTTTATTTTAGAAAAAGAAAGAAAAATAATCAGAGAAATCTATCATATTTTTAATTAACTTTGTCCTGGCTACTAGGATATTTCTGCATATATCTATATTAAGACATTTTTTATTCCATTTTTAAAATTAAAATTAATGAAATGTGTATCTCTTCTTTTTTCTCTATAGGGGTAAGTAGTGCATCTATCACTTTTATTAAATTTGGTTTAACTCCTATACAACAAAAAGATTTTTAGAATTCCCTTAAATTTGCTGTGTCCTGAGTGGTGTGTAAGAGATTTTCTAGAGTAAGAATCTCTTAACTTTATTACTTTACCAGCAAAAAAATTAACTTCTTGTATCTCAATGAATGTTTAATTATTTATTTATAAGTTATTTACTTGTATTATTATGCTAATATAGGACATACATATTACATCTAAATAATAATGAAAAATAGCAGAATAAAACAAAAATAATATGATAAAAGTTATACTATTTTTTCATATCAAGATTGAAATCCTCGAGTACACACAAACAGCAATGTTTGACAGTGAATAGGTCATAAATATTCATGCATTTAAGGATGCCTTAAATCACTCTATTATCTATTATTTGGTCCTTTATATGAAATTGAACACACCACTGTATTTAGAAATTAAATTTCAAAATATGAGCATCATTTTTGTTTTGCTTCAAATATGACCACTTTTCTACATGTATTCTTATATATTACCCTGTCTCAGAACTAGTAGTAATATTTTAAATAGTATCGTTTCAGTGGTCAGAGTAGCCTAACAAAACTAAAATAGATCTTAATTTTATTTTAAGAATCACATTTTTAAAACATATATACATAATTGAATTATTTGTAACACAAAGTCTTTTTAACAGCTAGATTTCAAGACTCACATCTTTATTCATTTATGATGAAAATCGTTTTAATGCTATTTTTATATTCACATTAAACTCTCTACAGGATTGCATTTTCTCAAACTTGGGATAAGCATCTTTTCAGTGTTTTACTAAGACTAGAACCTCTAATTCTTAAAAAGAAATATGAAAGTAAAGAAAAAGCAGAGTGAATAAAAACATAAATATTCCCAATTTCACATTCACTATTCACTCACTTTATCTTAAATAAATTTTATTTTATATTACATATATATATAATTGCATATGCTATGTTATATATACATATACATCTCTCTATATATATCTATCTATATAGATCAAAGTTCTTTGATATATTGGCCAGAAATCCAGGCCATTTGGACTGACAACACTTTCCTTGTAAACTTGTCTATGTTATTTTTATTGTTATTTTTTGTTTAGTTAAGAATATAGAAAACTAAAATTTTCAAATTAGGGTTTTTATGTATCTCTACATAACACCTTTTACCTTTGAATCTCGAAGCATATTATTAGCATGAATTAGTAGTGCCTGAGGATAATGTGTGAGATACAAGTTGAATATTATTCAACACATTGCACAGATGAGTAAACTAGGCTTTAGTGTAACTGTTAAACATCTATATGAATCCTAATTCATAGGAAGTGATGGGTTTCTGATTTTTAAAGCTGCAAATTCCAGACAAAAAAAAATATAGAGAAATTAAGATTGAAGGTTTCAAGAAAATTTGACAAGTAAATATTCTGAAATTGACCTAATTATTAATCTCAATGTATGCTTAGAATTTAAATAATGATAAAGATCAATTATTTTTAACCCTTCCCCCAATGACTATGTCCTCTGTTGTTTCCTGTTATTGACTTGTAATAATGAATACAATGTAAGATATGTATTTAGCTGTTACATACAGCATGTCAGTCTGCATGGCCCATAGCATTATTGAATGGCAGTCCTATATTTGGAGGATCGTTGGAATAGAATAAATGTTCAAACTGGCTGATTGGAAGTGAGAAAATTATGCAGTGGCAACAACAAATGTTTTCTTTAATTATAATCATGAATTTATTAAGAAAATTTCTCTTGAAATATTTAAATGTGTGTGTGTATCACAGGTAAAAGCAAATAGGAAAAGTGAATGACTGTAAGGTTGTTGCCATCACTTTCAATGGCAAAACCACAATTACTTTTCAACCAACCTAATATTTTTCTTTTATTCCAATTATATGAAGTATATACTTTGGAAATTCATTGCAACTGGAGTTTTTCTACTTGAAAGTAGTTTTAAAGTGCACTTTTGTGATCTCTTTTCCATTGTTATACTTGACGAAGCATGTGAAAGAGTAATTATATTTTACACTAACGTATCTATTAACAATTTCCTCCTCTCACGGTCCTTAGGAATCCATATTTTCACCATTACCTCTGCTTCAACTGTTTTTTCTTAGCCCCATCTTGCTATTAAAAATACTATTAAGCTTTTGGATTGCAGCTTTTACTGTTTTCTCTGACCTCTTCAGCCCCCAGAAATCTCTTTTTCCTTAGAACTTCTGCATCTTTTATTTCTTCTTCAGAAAAAAAAAATGGCAAAATGCCTTGGATTCTTGTTTTAAACTTTTCTTTTTTTTATAAATTTCCTCTTTAAGTAGAACTCAAGCTCTTTTAAAGTAAAAGTTGTGTTTTATATTTGCTCATATGTATGTGAGCAAATACTTGGGCAGTGTGTGTACACAAAGTGTACTGGATTGATAATCTGCTAACATTATTTAGTTTCAGCTATTACTAGCTTTTGACAAATAATTTTACATCTCTGATCTACAGTTTCCTTGTCTATAATAAGAGAATATGTGCTCCAATGCTTGTTCAGAGAATCAGAGGGTTAAATTACAGGATAATGAGTTGGTACGGTGCCTTAGTACTTGGGAAACCTTCAATAATTATTAATTGAACCAAAGTTCACATACTACATTATATTTAGAACATGGTAAATAGTCTATATGTGTTTGGAAAATACATACATGACAGGACTTTATAGATCACATATATATGTTTTTAAGCTAGCATTGTATGTATCTTATTTGATGTTCAAACTTTATTAGAAAGATAGCTATATTCTTCATTCTGAAAGTACAGATGTGAATTTTGTGTGAGGTGGTTTCCTCACACACTTTTGTAGACTCTAACTTGATTCTAGATCTTTTCATTTTTAACTCCAGTTTTTTTTTAACATACTTGTTGAGTTAGAGTATAGATGTGTTTTGTTATTTAACTATACAGATTTTCCTCTTCAAAAAGAAAAAGGAAAAATTTCCAGGAATACAGAGTAGATTTTTTCACATTTGCTCACTGTGAACAGATAGCACGGCTTATAGTTCTTTTATTCTGAGTCCTCTACCCAAAATTTGGTCCTGAGTTGGTGATCAACAAATACTTGAATACTGTTGGTTGGTTTAAAAGGAAAAGGAGAAGAAATGTATGTTTTGTTGTTTTCTTCTTTACATATACTAGCAGAGAAAGAAGAATATTAGCAAGTGAAATCTTATTTAGATGCCAAACTCCCTAATCGAAATGGAGGCTTTGACCACCTCTCCATAAATCACTTAGATTCAGCCTTTTTACTTGTGATTAAAACAAAAAAATGGAACTCTCTATGTTTGCCTAGTCAAAATGTGAACAATTTGTATGGCACAATGTGCATAATAAGTGAAAAATATGATATTGTCATTTTATTAAGAAGCATGACAATATGTTCATGGGTTCTACTTTTCATTTATCTCACTTTGTCACAAAAGTGAGATGTCAACACCCTAACAGAATAAGGATGAATGACACAGCACTTGCTATTCCTGCTATGATAAGAATGCAAAGGAAAAGCTAATGAAAAACAGGGGTAAAGAACAGCCTTCTGGTCCTGAATGTGGCAGTGGTTTCCCGTGTGTGGTAACAAGTATATTAAACCATTTTTGTTTCTCTCAGTGTTCTCACAGGAATGCTGCATAAAAATATGTTTGCTCCGTTTAATCTTCAATGATATTTGATATTAATATACAAAATACTCAGTCATAGTCTACATAGAACTAGGTTGCACAACAAAGTATAAAGACTAATGTGTTTTTATAGTAATGCAAGGATTAAATTTACATATTGAATTATTAATGTCAAAAAGCATAGGAGTTGAAGAGAATTGGATTATAAAGAAGAAAATTTATGAGATTAAATTATACTTTATTTTTTCTGATTTAATTTAAAGAGTTTATGAGTACAAAAATGTAATAAGACGTGATGGTTTTTAAATTATATATGTAGGTACAAAGACAAAAAATATTTCAAATGAGCTAAAACTAGTCAAGTCCATAAAAATTATGCATTTAATCATACCTGAGTTACCAAGAGTAGAGTTTGGCTTCCATGTCAGTGTGTATATGCACATTCCATCCCCACACCCTAGAAGGAGTCAGAGCACTCTTCCAAATAATAGACCTTCAATGAATGATATGATATCCTCCATGATACTTGCCTCTTTCAGTTTAAGCATTGCCATAACATTGCATAGTCATTTATGTGCCATGCTTTCTAGACATGGCAGCTTTGTTTTACTCCATCAGAATTCCCTAGCTTATCAATGCTACACTTAAAATGATTATCTAGAATTGAATATGGTAATATAAATGTTCTAGCCTCATCCAAAATGCATGGAAATTATCACCATTCTTGATCTCTATATCATAATATCAGATACTATCACTATCTAATATTCACCCATCATTTGAAATTGCTCAGAATTCTGAGTTTACTAATGGTACTCGTCACATATAACTCACTGCTGAAAGGTAAATCCTGATGTGTCCAAGCCAATTTCAATGATCCCATCCAGTGGTATCCTTATAAATGTTTAACAATCATCTCTACAGATTAAAAGACAGATACAAAGACAGAGATAGAAAGATTTAAAAAAACTGGTTTGTAGGCCTCTTATTTGTTTGCTGATTGTTTTGTTGTAAAGTCTCCCAACACGGAACTATTAACATGGTGCCACTGAATATGGAGTTAGAAATTGTTGCCCACAATTTGTTTTCATGAACTGTTTCAAGCCATGAACAAGCTGGTCCCATCTCTCATGACAGAACTAATTTCATGCAGAAACTTAGTTTTGATTTAAACGGGTGTCCAACTCTGCTAATAAACTTTGAAGAGAAGTTCTTCTTAACCACCTTACATCCCCACTCACCTTCCCAGAAATATCTTGATTTAAACTGTTTAATGTATATCCATCCAGACCAATATGAAGATAGATAGATGATAGATGGATATATTTATATTTACGACATGCATACTCACAACTGTGTGAGCTTCCATAACTGAAATCTATTCATATTCAAGTGGGAACTGCTCATATTTTCCTATGAATATCATTTTTAAATTAATAATATATCTAGAATATTGAAGATTTTTCTATAACTGACAATCTAATGTTAAAATAATCATATGTTTAAAATTTTGCTTGACTTTGAATGTTGTATTTTTATTGCCCATAAGGCTTCATTTATCTCTATTTTAAAAAAATTAAGTGTGCATACTTGATTTCTCTTCTCTATTGGGTTCCTGATTTTTCTGCTAAGTTATAAGCACTTTTGTTATACAAAATATATAAGCCCTCCAATATATACAACAAATGCTTTTGGGCAGTTCATCTATTTTTTTAAAAAAAGAGATTACAATAGTTAAATGCTGCCATTCATTTCTTCTCCGATGTCTAGCCAGTGTGAAAGATCTTCAAACGTGAGGGGTTTTTTTCTTGACTAAAATAATAAAAATAGTCACTTGCACATATTCCCTAAGTATTTTTATAAACATTTGTATTTGCAGGTTTGTAAAAATTATGCAAAAAGTAGAAACCATTCTCACACTGTGGTCTCTCCTCAGAAGGATGGAATAGGAAGAAGCTGAGATATGGGATGAGGTACAAGCTCGAGGTAGGATGTGGATATCTGCTGAGTTTGTACTTGCTTTATTCAATCTGGAGTCATTCTTTGCATCTAACGGTACCTCATATTGACTGTATCAAATTGTCTGTGACAAAATGTTATTTTCCATTTAAGTGTATAGCACCAAGGGGCAAATAGAATTGTACAGAGAAGGCTGGAGACTTTGAAAACAAATTTCTCCTTTTTCATAGTTTTTGCATAAAAGCAATCCTGAATTGTAATTTTACATTGACACTCCCTCATAATAACTGTTTTCTCCACAGGAAGCTGATCTCAAAAACATATTTTTCCTGTCTATTTAAAGACGTGATCATTGCTGCCTCTCCCACTTAGTCAGCACACACCATTTATTCTTAGTATTAGAGCTTGGGAGGGAGCCCAAAACCCACTCTGCTAACCTCAGGCTGACTTTGTGCTTTTACTCCAAATTAAACCACCACATCTACTTATTGCACAAAGGCATAATCAGCTATGGCTGCTGCGTCTCCAATAACAATGTCATGGTTATAATGAAATTCCTACCTTCCTTTGCCTTCAGCTGTTCCCATTGTTTGCATTTACAGGTTCTTTTTCAGTTGTTCACACAAAGTGCTGTTTTGGCATAATGCCATTTATCAGATTGGCATATTAACTTCTTGAATTCCCTCTCAATTTTTCTCCTTATCCATTCATTTAAAAACAAGGAAGAGGAAAGGAATTTCTGTGACTCTCTGGATACTTTTCGGTATTATACCTACTCTTGGCTCGCAGTAAAAGTGTTCTTGATGAAGAATTTGCATAAAAATAAAAAGTATTTACATCTTAAAAAATATCTGTAACTCTTTTGCCTTCCTTTAGTACAGTGTACTTTTACATTTCCTCCTAGCTTCATACAAGCTTGAGTCCTTCTTCTTATGGGCTGAGTTAATATGATAAAATAATTTACACTAGAACGCTTACAATATAGGTAAATGCATGTTTTTGTTGTCTTTAAGTATAATAATAAAATGGTTAAAGCAGTTAGGTTATCCTGAGTCAACTCCCATTTGCGTTTATAATAAACTCTAAATTCTTCATTAAATATCCTTTTGCCCATCTCCGCTTATCTATGTGCTCCATCTTCATTTTAAATAAAATATCCTCAAACATGTCTTTTTTGACTGATCCTGTGAGCCAGGGTCTCACTCTGTTGCCCCAGCCATAGTGTAGTAGTGCAAACACAGCTCGCTGCAGCCTTGATTTCCTGGGCTGAAGAAATGTGCCTGCCTTAGCCTCTCCAGCAGCTGGGACCAGAGGCACACACCACCATGCCTGGCTACTTTTTTTTGTTTTTCATAGAGATGAGGTCTTGCCATTTTGCCCAGGCTGGTGTCAAACTCTTGGCCTAACAATGCTCCCGCCTCAGCCTTCCAAAGTGTTGGGGTTACAAGCATTAGCCACCATGCCCAGCCAATATTTTCTATTTGTTCTGAGTTCTAATACATTCTGAATCAGTACTATTGGCACAGCCAACACAACGTAATACTTTTTGAGCACCTACTCTTGTCAGAAACACCTCTAGTCACTGGATCACAGATGTCTATAGAGCACAGAGCTTCCCCTCACAGTATTTGGTGCTCCTGTATGCTGCTGCTGCTTCTTCTCCTTCTTCTTCTTCCTCTTCCTCTTCCTCTTCTTCTCCTTCTTCTTCTTCTTCTTCTTCTTCCTCTTCTTCTCCTCCTCCTCCTCCTCCTTCTTCTCCTCCTTCTCCTTCTTCTCCTTCTTCTTCTTCTTTCTTTTTTCTTTTGGCTTTGTTTGCACAACCTTAAAGCTCAACTTTTTCTGTAGAAATATCTGTCTCCTCTGAAGAGCTCCTGTGACTTCTCATTCTTCTTACATGTTAAGAAAGGTAACTAAAAAGCACCAGGGAGATTGGGGTCCTAAAGGCAGAGACAGTGCCTATTCTTCCTAATTTTCGAACACATAGCACAGTGCTTAGTGTAGAGATAAACATTCAATAAGTGGTAGTAATTAAGAATTAACATAGATTTGCCTGGATACTTGAAATGCACGCTTCCCCAGGCATATAAAAGAACATCAGTTTTTACAAGTAAAGTTTCAGTGAGCGAATGACAGAAAAAAAGTGATCAAGCCAACATATAGATTTATGGGGATGAGATGGGAGATGTTGTGAAGGGAATGAGCAAAACAAGAGTGAAGTTTGTAGCCAAAGAGATCAAAGCAAAAATGAGGAAGACAGTGTATCAAAATAAACTGGCTAATCTATGTTTTGAGTTTTCTCCAAAATTGAAAAAAAAATGCTGTTCATACTCATTAACGCAAGAATAGATCCTATGAGAATTAAATTCATGGGGATCATAAATGTGAGGCTATTTATTCTGACACTTATTTTTTCCATATATCATTCTTACCCCCAAGTTCATGTTTACTCAAGAGACATCAAATTAAAAATATATTTGAAGAGATTAATTAAATTTTAGTATTTAGTTTTATAATTTCCTTCAGAGTTGAAGGGTATTTTTGCATAAAAAAGTAAATCTTTGTTTCTCCAGCTCATTACTTTCTCCTTATCATTGCACAATGTGAACGCTAGAAAAATAAAACTTGAGATGGCATGCTAAGTAGAGTGAGAAGTAACTAGAGAAAAGCTAAAAGTGGTGGAAAGTGAAGGTTGTTTTCCATCTTGGCCAGGAAAAATGTTGCACTCTACTTATGAGTTCTTTCATTTAATTGTTTTTCTGCCCTATGCTACAGAACATATAGTTTTGGTTTACTTATAAATATATTCACTTAATATGAGAGCCAAACGTATACAAAAATTATAACTATGGTTCAAGTGAATATCTTCCTGAAATTTTCTTTCTGCCTTCAGCTCTGAAAAGTGATTATTGTTCAAGCCTCCAGTAGGTCTGCTGACAGCCATGGCATCAATTTCCACAGGGGAAAGGTAAACCTGCAGGTATGTGTGCATGTACTAAGCTATCTGGAATAGAGTTTCTCTGAGGAAAATCTTTGCATTATTTTCAAACCTAATGCCAGAGGGAAAAAAAAAGAGTGCATATATTTTGTACAGCATATAGTATAGACATAACTAACTATAAATAATAACCTAAATTTCTTTATATTTTATTATGTTTAGTAAAGCTAACATCATTTTAGATACTGATAGTTTGTTTTCATCTTAAAGGAGCCCATAATTAAGAGTTCTGAAAAAAATTGAGAAAATATTAATTTCTTAAAATGTATGTATATATAAAGAATAAAACTATATATTGTCATGATAAACACACAAATGATTTGAGTGGATTCTGATGCTTTAATTGCAGATACAAAGACATAAAACAAACATGCCCTACATAAAATGAGCTTCATTTAATTTCTTGAAATTACCTAGTCGATATGTTAGATAAGATATTTAACCACTTTGGCCCTCACCTAAGTCTACTCACAGAAAAAGTATAGCACTTTGGCATATAATCTCAAAGATTTCTTCCAGCAATACAGTTCTGGTGTGTACACTCTTTAAGCTTCATTTACTACCTCTTCGTGAGTGTTCCAATATGTCAGTGCTATAGTGTAGAAGAGGTCATCTAGTAGAGTGGTTAAGAAGGCAGGAAGACCCAGCCCTGCCATTTCTAGATCTATAGAATTGGACCACTGCTTAAAATGTATATATAATTTTCTAATTTGGGAAACATGGAATAATACAACACCTAATTCCTTATAAGAATAAGTTAAAGAATGCATGCAAATTATTTAGCAGAATGGATGTCATTTTTTGGTGTGTGATATGTGCTAATTATACAGCTACTGTGGAAATTATGGGGTTTCTTTAGAAGGCTGAAAGTCAAAAGAAGTGTGTCAGAAAATATTAATGGTTTTGAATCTCAAAATCATAATAATGATTTATACATGCCAAATTTAAAAAAGAATCATTCATCTTATATCAACTATAGATCAAAAAGGCTTATAAATTTACAGACTAATAGATTCGACTACACACACAAATATAAACATGCAAAAAAAACATACATTTATACCATACACAACTCCCATGAGAAAGAAATGAAAGAGAAAAAAGTCAAGACCAGTAGACTAACAAAGTGTGAAAAAAGATGTAAAATGTCTTGCAGAGAAAGATTGAAAATATTAGTAACAAATGGATGCAAGCATCTAGTAGAAACATCTCAAAAAATAAATAGTTCCAAATAAAAGTGTTTACTTTATAAATATATTAAATATTCAAATTAAGACAATACCTATATGCTAATTGTACATTTCAAATTGGAATAAACTTCATAAACTTACACTAACATGTGCTACTTAGCACAGGTGTGAAGAAGAAAAATGACTATCCAAGGACTGAAATAGGATGTGTTGCTTATCATAATAAAGCTACGGTAGCTATGGACAAGTTATAAGTAATGCATGAAAAAGTACATTAGAAACTTACCTGGATTTCATGCCTGGGATATTAGTTTACCAACTTCAGAGATAAGTTTTGACAATTTGTATGTCAAATTTGACCCTCAACTCTCTAGAAAGAGACCCTCTCTAGAAAAAGAACTGATTTTATTAGATAGATTAGATAGATGATAGATAGATGATAGATAGATAGATAGATAGATAGATAGATAGATAGATAGATAGATAGATTCTTAGATAAATAGATAGAAATATCTCTATCTGAGTATCCCATTGGGTAAATCTGGGCAATTTCTCAATAGGCATCAAATATTTGAAAACTTAAGCAGCATTTTTGACTTGAAAATTCTATTAAGAATGTATCACAGTTATTATTGCCTTCATAACATCTACTATTTATTTTAGCAGTTTTACATTCCAGGCACTGGTATTATATTAACTCATCCAAGTCTCACTCACAACAATTCCATGAGGCAACAAATATCTTTATCTACATTTCAGTTAAGGAAACTGAGGTACAGATATATTAGATCACACAGTACAGGTCATTCAGCTTGCAAGAGGCTGAATCATATTTTGAGTTCATGCAGTCAGTTTCCACAGCCTGCATTTTATCCTCTACATTATTGGTTGTCATATCCAAGAATAACCTGTTTCATTATTATATGTTTGAAATCATCATAGGCAAATAGAATATTGCCCTTGAAAGCAGAGTTATAAAGTACTATTTTATGATATGGGAAGTTATGATATGGATAGAAATTACGTAAATTCAAAGAATAAATTTATTAAACATTATACCACTACGATTCCAATCCTGGAAGGGTGGTAGGGAAACAAAGAGATTGAGAATAAATATGCCCCAAACAATGATATTCATTTCTGTCTGGTGGGCTATTGGTAACTTCTATTTCTTGTCCCTTTGCTTATATTTTAATTTATACTTTATAATGAACATCATCCTTATTCTTATAAAGTAAAAATATGTTTGTTTGTTGTTTATTTTAATGCTGGACCATTCTGAAAGCCTCTTGAGGATCTGAGGGAATTAGTCTTATCTTAAAATTTCATTTATTTTTGATAAAGCTTTTCTAGTCAATAGGAAGTAGTCTCTTGGTTGTTGCCACAGGTTGGTAGGTAAGAAATAAACCCATTGCTTTAGATGTGAATTACATAACCAAGATTATTATTATTTTTACCTCATTCTTGATTTTTAATTCTCTATTTTTTTAAAGTGTGATTTGCACCTTTTTAAAAAAGACACTTATATTGAACCTACTATAAATTACCCAATATTACTTTATAATATATACGTTTTCTCAGAATTCCAATAATCCAAAATTCAACAATTTCGCTGAAGCTATTTAAAAACCTGGACACATTAAATATTTCTTTCATCCATATTTCAAACACTTAATATGTAATTCTACTTTGATGGTCTTAGATTTTAATTTCTTTCAATTTTCCCCCAAAAGATCAGTTTTCTGGATGTGTTTTTCATGCCAAATGGTGAATAAAAATTATTTCATTTAAATATTAAAGACCTTAAATAAACACATTTGTTTCACCTGTAATAACTGTTTAAACCCTAGGAAAGGAAAGCTGATATTAGAGAAATTCTAATTATAACTACAAACGCTCTGTGATGTATTCATTGAAAAGGAAGATTTCTATAAAGCTCCTTAAAGTAAACCAAGTCAATGTTCAGTGTAACAGAGAACGAAGTGGATTTTCACAGCATAAGCTATTGTTTCTTTCAACATCCCATTTGACTCAGATTGCTGACAGAGAAAAAAGTACCAGTGCTCCAATACACATTGAAAAATATGGAGAACTGGTTCAGAAACAGACATGTCCAGTGAAAGCATGGTCAAAAGGCTTTACTGCTTTATGCATGATTGAAAACAGGCAGCTCTCTGCTAAAATGAACAGTTTATCCCATTCTACTGTTGAACTGTCTACAATCCTGCCCATTATTATATTGTTTGAAGTAAATTCTAGTCATCATTAATTATTTGCTTTTTTTCTTTTTCAGTTGTCCTGTGTGAGAAACATGAATTCCAGTGCAGGTGTTAAGGTGCAGATTCTTAAGTGACACAGCCCAAAACTCTGAGTAGGTCTGAGCAGATGGTCAAAGACAACACTTCTAAGAGTGGTTCAGAGAGCACAGGATTTTAAACCACAAAAATCTAAATCCACTTAATAGGAATGTGACATCGATATAGCTTTTTAATCTTTTTAAGTCTCAGATTTAACATTTTGTAAGTGGATATAAAGATAGTACTTATCTCATCTGGTAGTTATAAAGATTAACTAAAGAATTCATGATAAGCACCTAACAAATTTCTGTCACATAGCATAATTGCTCAAAAAGGTATCATCTTTATCCTTATTATTTTATCTTTATTCTTGAGTAAAGCACATCTATATAGTAAAATCTTTTTCAATCATTTAAAAAAATTTTGAGTATATTGTGACTTGAATTATTTTAAGTTGAAGATTAAGTTCTGATCTGGCAATGATGAATAAAGATCAGACTTTATGTTATTTTTCTCTATGTAATTTCCATTTAACTTTGAAATTCTAGTTTCTAAACCTGCAATAAATTTTATTTTTGATGTGTAATAAAAAGTTTTATACAAGGACAGCACTGTTCTGAATCTCTTCTATTTTAATGTGCATTTTAATTTAGTAGGATAAACAAATAAATAAATCTAGGAAAATCTGATTGTATGAAAGACAATCATGAGGAAAATAAAAATGTGTCAAGCAAATACCAATACAAGAGTTATCAAAAAGACAATAAAAACATGCATTTAAAGCACCAAGCATATAAAAGAATACTGCATTGAATATAGTGGATATTATAAACTTTATTATAAATCAAAGACTAACTTATAACTTTGTCTAGTAAAATTATATCTTAAATACTAGAAGTATGAAGTCTATAAAACTAAGTCAGAGTCCCAGCAGATCAGAATGGCAAAAAGAAGAATCATCATCTTGAACTATAACTAGTTATGATTTCTTGTTATACAAATGTGCCTTGAATTTCCCCATTACTAGAGCGTTATTACACCCAATAACTATTGACCTCTAGGTCACAAATTAAAATCAACCATATCTACAACTCCATTTATATTATAATGCACCTCTCATTTCCTGGAAGAATCTCATCATGGAGATCATAATTGCAAATTGGCCACCATACACATTAGAAGTACTTTAATTTCTTTTAAATTAAAAGTAGCATCCAATATATTCAATCAGCATAATACAAGGTTGTTTATAACACCTTTAAAAGAATTAAGTTTGAGCATCTACTTAGCTACTCTTCAAAGAATATAAGGCTTTTAAATTAAATTAATAACAAAGATGACTTTTCAGGTGAAAGTGGATAGAGAAAACAAAAATATAATAAATACAATTTGCTTTTATTCTCTTTTCATAGAGTCTTGCATTGCCTAAAGACAGGGAAACATTCTGAGAAATGTATCATTAGGTGGTTTCATCCTTGTATAAACATCACAGAGTGTACTTACAGGAACCTAGATGGTATAGACTATTACACACCTAGGCTATATGGTATAGCCAATTTCCCCTAGGCTTACAACCTGTACAGTATGCTACTGTATGAAATACTATAAGCCAACAGTCCCCAACCTTTTTGGCACCAGGAACCAGTTTTGTGAAAGACAATTTTTTCTCAGAACAGAGTTTCAGGAGATGGCTTTGGGATGATTCAAGCACATTACATTTATTGTGCACTTTATTTCCATTATTATTACATTGTAATATATAATGAAATAATTATACAACTCACCATGATGTAGAATCAGTGGGAGCAGCGAGCTTGTTTTCTTGCAACTTGACTGTCTCATCTGGGGATGATGATGGGAGACAGTGACAAGTCATCAGGCATTAGATTCTCATAAGTAGTGCACAACCTAGATCCCTGGCAGGCGCAGTTCACAGTAAGGTTCAGGTTTCTATGAGAATCTAATGCCACCACTGATCGGAGAGGAGGTGGAGTTCAGGTGTTAATGTGAGCAATTTGGAGTGGCTGTAAATACAGCCTTCCGCTCACCTCCTGCTCTGTGGCCTAGTTCCTAACAGGCCAGGGACCAGTACTGGTCTGTGGCCCAGGGTTTGGAGACCCCTGCTGTAAGCAATTGAAACACAATGGTAAGTATTTGTGTGTCTAAACATGTGTAAACATAGGAAAGGTATAGTAAAAATACACTATAAATGATAAAAAAAATTTACACCTGTGTAGGGCTGCTCCATTACAATCATATGGGACCACCGTCATATATGTGGTTCATTACTGACCAAAAAGTCATTATGTGGTACATCATGGTGTACATACTTTCTATAAAACTCTCACTTTCTATCAGGCTCACATGCAAAGCTGGCTAAATAAGGTTTCAATCATGTTTCATTTAATTTAAATATCAACATAAGATAAACAAAAATTCCAAACAAATTTTAACAAGTACATTTTGAGAGAACTGGTTATTTATTGTTTAATATGTAGCATATTACTAATTGCACTAAAATTTACTTGTAATTTTAATGTAGCGTCACTTTGCTTACATGAAGGAAAGTGCATAGAATAAGGATCAAGGGAAAAAAACAACAAAAGCTAAAATTATTATATAATATTGTATATTACTTGTCCTTAGAACTTTTTAAATGCCTCATTTTACTTATGTTTTAAAATTTATGAATAAAAAGTATGTATATTTATTATGTACAACATAAGGTGAAACACACATATATTTGGACTGGCTAAATTGAGTTAATTAACATCATTTTCTCACATACTTATAATTTTTTATATTGAGGACACTTAATATTTACTCTCTTAGCAATTTTCAAGAATACAACACAGTTATTAAATAAAGTCACCATGTTGTACAATAGATCTGTTGAACTTATTTTATATAACTGAAATGTTTTCTCCTTTGACCAACATCTCCCTATCCAATTCCATCCCCAGACCCTGATAACCATCATGCTAATCTCTACTTCCATTAATTCAACTTTTTTAATATTCTAAATATAAGTGAGATTATGTGGCATTTTTCTTTCTGTGTCTGGCTTACTTAACAGAATATACCCCAGGTTCAACCATTTTGTCATGATGACAGGATTTCCTTCTTTTTAAAAGATGAACAGTATTTCATTGTGTGTGTGTGTATATGTGTGGCTGTATGTATGTGTGTGTGTGTGTGTATATATATATATATATATATACATATACACATTTTCTTTATGCATTCATTCCTCCATGGACACATAGGTTGATTTCATACCTTGACTATTGTGAATAATGCTGCAACTAACATGGGAGTGCAGATATCTCCTTGACATATTGATTTCACTTCCTTTGGACATATAACAAGTAGTAGGATTGCTGGATAATATGATAGCTCTATTTCTAATTTTTTGAGGAACCT
Organism: Homo sapiens; assembly: GCF_000001405.40. Taxonomy (NCBI): domain Eukaryota; kingdom Metazoa; phylum Chordata; class Mammalia; order Primates; family Hominidae; genus Homo; species Homo sapiens. The sequence goes on along the minus strand of NC_000004.12, from coordinate 115,314,042 downwards.
CCATGCTGTTTTCAATACTAGATATACTAATTACATTCTTATCAATAGTGTATGAATGTTCTCCTTTCTTTATGTATTTGCCAACAATTATTATCTTCATCTTTTTGATAACAGCGAACTTGAACAGTTGATATCTCCTCGTGGTTTCAATTCACATTTCTGTATTGGTGATTGAGGGTTTTTCCATATACATGTCTGCTATTTGTATATCTTCTCTTGCAAAATGGCTATCCAAGTATTTTATCCATTTTTTAAATCAGGTTATTTATATTCTTGCTATTGGGATGAGTTCTTTCTATATTTTAGATATTAACCCCTCATCAAATGGATGATTTGCAAATTTTTTTTCCCCACTCTTTAGGTGTCTCTTCATTCTGTTGATTACTTCTTTTGCTGTAAAGAAGCTTTTCAGTTTTATATAATCCCATTGGTTTGTTTTTGCTTTTGTTGTCTGGGCTTTTTGGGTCCTATCCAAAAACATTATTAGCCATACCAATATTGCAGAGGTTTCTCCTTATATTTTCTTATATTAATCTCATGATTTCAGGCCTTAAGTTTAAAGTCTTTAATACATTTTGAGGTTTTTTTTTTTAATTGTAAGTTCATGTGTATATGCGAAGTTTGTTATATAGGGAAAGTTGTTTCATAGAGGTTTGCTGTACAGATTATTTCATCATCCAGGTATTAAGCCTAGTGGCCATTAGTTACTGTTACTGATCCTCCCCCTCCTCCCACACTCCACCATCAGGTAGCCCCTAGTGTTTGTTGTTTCCCTCTACAAGTCCATGTGTTCTCATCTTTTAGCTCCCACTTATAATTCAGAACATGTGATTTGGTTTTCTGTTCCTGCATTAGTTTGTTAAGGATAATGGCCTCCAGCTCCATCCATATTCTGACAAAGGACATAATCTTATTCTTTTTTTATGGCTGCATAGTTTTTGGTGTTGTATATGTACTACATTTTCTTTATCCAGTCTACCACTGATGGGCATTTAGGCTGGCTCCATGCCCTTGCTATTGTGAATAGTGCTGTAATGAACATACACATGCATGTGTCTTTATGATACAATGATTTATATTCTTTTGGATATATATCCAGTAATGTTGTTGGTGGGTTGAATGGTAGTCTGCTTTTAGCTCTTTGAGGAATCACCACACTGCTTTCCATGATAAATGAACTAATTTACACTCACACCGACAATGTATAAGCCTTCCTCTTTCTCTGCAACCTTATCATCATCTGTTATTTTTTGACTTTTTAATAATAGCCATTCTGACTGGTGTGAGGTGGTATTTCATTGTGGTTTTGATTTGCATTTCTCTAATCATCAGTGATGCTGATTTTTTTTCACATGCTTGTTGGCTGAATGTATGTCTTCTTTTGGAAGGTGTCAGTTTATGTCTTTTGCCCACTTTTTATTGGGGCTATTTGTTTTCATTTCTTGTAAATTTAAGTACTTTATAAATGCTGGATTTTAGACCTTTGCCAAATGCATAGTTTACAAAAATTTTCTCCCATTTTGATGGTTGTCTGCTTACTCTGTTGATAGTTTCTTTTGCTGTACAGAAGCTATTTAGTTTAATTAGATCTTGTCAAATTTTGCTTATGTTGTAATTACCTTTAGCATCTTTATCATGTAATTACCTTTAGCATCTTTGCCAGTTCCTATGTCTTGAATGGTATTGCCTAGCTTGTCTTCCAGGGTTTTTATAGTTTTGGGTTTTACATTTAAGTATTTAATCTATCTTGAGTTAATTTTTGCATATGGTGTAAGCAGGGGGTCTGGTTTCAATCTTATGCATATGGCTGTCCAGGTATCCCAGCACCATTTATTGACTAGGTAATCCTTTCCCCATTGCTTGTTTTTTTTTTAGCTTTGTCAAAATCAGACGGTTGTAGATGTATAGACTTGTCTGAGCTCTCTGTTCTGATCCATTGGTTTATATGTCTGTTTCTGTGCCAGTACCATGCAGTTTTGGTTACTGCAGCACCGTAGCATAGATTAAAGTCACGTAGCATAATGCCTCCAGCTTTGTTCTTTTTGCTGGGAATTGCCTTGGCTATTTGGGCTCTCTTTTGATTCCATATTAATTTTAAAACAGTTATTTTCTAGGTTTGTGAAGGATCTCTACAATAGTTTGATAGGAATAGCATTGAATCTATAAATTGCTTTGGGCAGTATAGTCATTTTAATTATATTGATTCTTCCTATTCATAAGCATGAAATATTTTTCCATTTCTTAATATCATCTCTGATTTCTTTGAGCAGTGTTTTGTAGTTCTCATTGTAGAGATCTTTTACCTCCCTGGTTAGCTGTATTCCTGGGTATTTTATTATTTTCGTGATTATTATGGATCAAATTGCTTGGCTCTTAGCTTGAGTATTGTTGGTGTACAGGAATGCTAGTGATTTTTCTACATTGATTTGTATCCTGAAAATTTGCTATACTTGTTTATAAACTTAATGAGCTTTTGGCCTGAGACTATAGGGTTTTCTAGATATAGGATCATGTTATCTGCAAACAGGGATAGTTTGTCTTTTTCTCTTTCCATTTGGATGCCTTTATTTCTTTCTCTTGCCTGATTGTTCTGGCCAGGAATTCTAATACTATATTGAATAGAAGTGGTGATAGAGGACATGCTTATCTTGTGCTGGTTTTCAAAGGGAATGCTTCCAGATTTCATCCCTTCAGTATGATGTTGGCTGTGGGTTTGTCACAGATGTGTCTGATTATTTTGAGGTGTGTTCCCTCAATACTTGGTTTCCACTAGCTAGACTAATAAAGAAGAAAAGAGAGAATATCCAAATGAACACAAATTAGAAATGACAAAGGGGGTATAAGCACTGACCACACAGAAACACAAATCACCATCACAGAATATTATGAACACCTCTCTGCACACAAATTAGAAAATCTAGTAGAAATTGATACATTTCTGGGCACATATACCCTCCCAAGACTGAACTGGGATATATTTCTGGGCAATATACCCTCCCAAGACTGAACCGGGAAGAAATTGAATTCCTGAATAGACCAGTAACAAGCTCTAAAATGGAATCAGTAATAAATAGCTTATGAATGAAAAAAAGCCAAATGAATTCACAGCCAAATTCTACCAGATGTACAAAGAAGAGCTGTTACCACTCATACTGAAACTGTTCCAAAATTTGAAAAGGAGAGACTCCTCCCTAACTCATTCTATGAGGCCAGCACCAAATCTGGCAGAGGCACAACTAAAGAAAGCTTCATGCCAATATCCTTCATGAATATCTATGAAAAAATCCTCAAAAAAATACTTGCAAACTAAATTCAGCAGCACATCAAAAAGCTCATTCACCACGATCAAGTGGGGATTATCCCTGAGATGTGAGGTTGGCTTAATATACATAAATCAATAAACATGATTCATCACATAAACATAACTAAAGATAAAAACCACATGATCATCTCAATAGATACAGAAAAATCTTTCAATAAAATTCAACACTGCTTCACATTAAAATTCCTCATTTGAACACTTACATTAATTTTTTTAAAAAGGTAGTCTTTTGTAATTACTTTGGTAAACTAACCCTATTTATTAAAGATAAACTACTATTATTGCAGGTCAGTCTAAGTCGCTCCTTATTTGTGTGTTATATAATTAAGAATTATATTTTCAGTTTGATTTGCTAAAGTTTTCACTATTGGGTCCTTTCTATATGTGTTTAAAGTTTACCTATATATGTGTGTGTGTGTGTGTGTGTGTGTGTGTGTGTATTCAGATATCATATATATATAATCTCTCATTTATCTGATTTATTTATAAATTATATATATAATATTATAATATTATATATATATATAATTTATAAAGCCCTAATCTACCCTTCACTCCTGCAGCTATTACTCTGTACCTTAGTTCTCTACATATTCTGACCTTTTGAAAAACATATATTATTATAGAATTATCTATCTTAAGCAGATCAAGAAGATATACTGACTTCTTTGAAAATTGGCTTTGAAAAAATGTGAAACCAATACCTCAAATGCTAGCAGGCATATCTAATTACCTCTTTTCTGCCTTTCTATATTTGCCTCCTACATTCTCTTTCACTGCTCTCTTGCATTCTCCACACAGAGGTTCTCCTAAGATAATCTACTCAGAGTTCACAAGAATAGCAGAAAAGAATATCTTTCCCCTAGCTCTAGTTTTAACTCTGATTACCCTCATTTGAATGTGTTGTATTAGTCAGTTTTCACACTGCAATAAAGAGCTGCCCAAGACTGGGTAATTTATTAAGGAAAGGGGTCTAAGTGACTCACAGTTCTGGGGAGGCCTCAGGAAACCTAAAATCATGTTGGCAAAGGGCAAGCAAAGCATATCTTACATGGTGGCAGGCAAGAGAGAGCAAAAGGGAGAGCAAGAGAGCTCATTATAAAACCATAAGATCTAATGAGAACTCACTCACTCACTATCATGAGAACAGCATGGGGGAAACTGTCCCTGTGATTCAATCACCTCCCATGACACGTGGGCATTAGGGGGATTACAATTTGAGATGAGATTTGGGTGGGGACACAGAGCCAAATCACATTATTTCGCCCAGGCTCTTCCCAAATTTCATGTCCTTTTTACATTTCATAACCAATCATGTCTTTTCAACAGTACCTCAGTCTTAACTCATTTCAGCATTAACTCAAAAGTCCAAGTCCAAAGTCTCATCTGAGACAAGGCAAGTCCCTTCTGCCTATGGGCCTGTACAATCAAAAACAAGTTAGTTACTTCCAAAATACAATGGGGGTACAGGAATTTGATAAATGCTTCAATTCCAAATAAGAGAAATTGACCAAAACAAAGGGGTCACAGGCCCCACGCAGGTTCAAAACCTAAAGGGGCAGTCATTAAATCTCAAAGATCTGAAATGATCTCTTTTGACTCCATGTCTCACGTCCAAGTCACACTGATGCAATAGGTAGACTCCCATTGTCTTGGGCAGTTCTGCCGCTGTGGCTAGGCAGAGTATAGCCCTTCTCCTGGCTGCTTTCATGGGCTAGCATTGAGTGTCTGAAGCTTTTCCAGGAACACAGTGCAAGTTGTCAGTGGATCTACCACCCTGGGGTCTGGAGAATGCTGGTCCTCTTCTCACAGCTCTACTAGGCAGTGACCCAGTGAGGATTCCAAAACTCATAGACATTCATAGATTCATACTTGTCTGTAAAAATATGGTTAGAGTTCAAGCCCCAGTGGTTCTTGAAACAAGGAGGATTTACATAAACATCTTTCTGAAATGTAGCTCTCTCAATCCCACCACCTTCTGTGCATGCACTACTTGAACACTTCGGGTACCATGCCTGCTTCCTAGTTTACAGGTCCACCCCCTAGTTTAGAAGTCTACATCCAACAACTCTCCTCAGATGGTTGCTTCTGCCTCCTCATGCTCCAAATCTCAGAGTTCATTCTCCTATATTTGTGCATAAACTGAAGCTACAGATTTCAAAGATGGTCTAAAGACTTATAGGTCTTAAAGATGCTCTGTTTGATATAAAAATCATTTAAAATTTGATAAATAATTACCAAAATGTAAAACTCAGGTGGTTTTATATTTTATAAATCAGAAGTTTGAACTTATATGTCAAAAAATGAACATCTGGCCAATCCTGAACCTTTATTTTTCATGTGTGAAAATCTGAGTAATGGCTCTCAATTTATAAGACTTATCTTCAGTTAAGCCGACTGCCTAGCCCTCTTTACTCATTCCTTTTTTACACTTATTTCCCATTGTTGGCAAAATGTTATGAAGTGAAATGCAGATATCATGATACTTACTTCCAAATACTTCAATGTACATCTCTAAAAAATAAATGCCTTTTTCTATATAATGACAATATTATTAAGACATCTAAACAATAGCAATAATGACTTAATGTCATCCAGTACTCAAGCTATCTTAAATTGTATCCAATTATTCTTCAAAATATATTTTACAGTTAATTATTTTAACTTCCCATTGATTTCTTAAACATGACCAATTTCACTAATTCAGTTTACTTACTTTATTCTAGTTAACATCTGAGTTTATGTGTCCAACTCAAGATATTAGTAAAAACATAATTTTTAAAACGTGTCTTAAATCTTCTCTTAGAACAAAAGAAACTCCAAGACTTCAAAACCTAAAACTCTTGAGTATATTATGTACCTATTTACATTTTTAAGGTGATGGAGGATGGAAAGTATGGCTGGAGGTGGGAAATTGAACCAACAAAAATTTAAAAACTCTCATTTTTCAATAATTATTTTATTTAAAAGTACAAAGTACAAATTAATATATCTGCAATTTATCCTGACATGAATAAGTATTGTTTGATAAATATTGGCAAAGAAAAGTAGGGATTGACTCTAGGCTTAGAACATCAGAAATCACTTATAAAAAAGAGATGCAGAGAAACTGATCCCAATTATTGGAAGAGGAAAAATACTTCATTCTGAGTCTTCTCACGATTCTAGGGATAGAATTAAAACCACTGAATGTGGTTTATAATTAATGTCATGATTTATCTTCTGCTTAAATACCTATTTTTTGCTGCCATTTCACCCAAACTGAATGTGTTTTGTTTGTTCTATGTGTCAAATGTTGTTTTCTGCAGTCTCTAACCTTTATCACAAATACTCTTCCTCAACCCTTAAGTATTTATCTGAAAGGTCACTAACAAAACATTGACCTCTTGACTCTCCTTGTCTTTGTCAGCAACCCTCAAAAGTACTTTTTCCTATGACTCCAGTAATAGGTTACTGAACATGAGCCACCATGATGAACAGTTATCAGCCATATCCACAAAACTCTAGCTGCTCTTTGTCTTTAGCACCATGTATGGTCTCAAATTAATAACAGATATATAATACATGAATGAAACAATTTGAAGGTACATCTTATTCTAAGACACTTTTTGCTGAAAACTTAAGGTGAGCTCTTTAAATACGCTATAAAATATGTTGCATATACTTCAAAATACTAGCTTATTTCTTTCTGAAATTAGCTTCACTTCCATAAATGGAATGCTAGGATATATTCTATAGATACAGAGATAGACAGATACAGAGACAAAGACAGAGGCAGAGGCAGAAAGAGACAGAAAGAGAACATAAAAGAATAATGTCTTCAGAGATCATTACTACGTTTTAGTTTTGTTTCTGCAGTCAGTTGATTAGTTATTTCCTGACCTATATTTGCTTTCACCTCACCAGTAAATCACAAGAATCAGATACACTTCCTTTTGTACCTCTCTTGACCGAGGAGGTGGGGAGGGAATTTAGACATGATTATTACTAAACCATTGGTTTTAGACTGTAAGAATAACTTAGAAGCATACAAAAGCATACAAAGTGATAAAATGTAGGCTTCAAATGGTGAAATTTACAAAAAGATTATGCAAAACAGTTATCAATACAGAAGCAAAATTATGTCAATTAAGCTAATGCATAAAAAATCAAGCAAAGTATAAATATGGTGATTATAATGTTAAACAAATTATATAGTTTCTTGCCTGTAAGTTAAATAGAATTCTAAATGAGAATATCATAGTTCAAGCTCTGGTCAAGGGCTTCTGAATTTACGCCTCTGCCCAGTGGTCTGTGATGTTGCACAAGGTGTCATTTTCTTCATTTGTATCATTTTCATCACTTGTAAAAACTTTGGTCTCATTTTCTTTCACTTGTAAAATAAGGGTTTGGTAGATTTCCTCTAAGAACTATTCTATAAATGTCCTTATTTAAGTCTCCATAGATACTTTCAAAGTCAGCTTATTAGAAGCAGCATATTTACTTAACTTAATGAGTAGGCCACTTTCCCCCTTCTCAAAATCCTCATATACATTGAGAAAATTTTATACCATAGTATTTTTTCCATTATCTCATTTGAAACTCAAACAAATATATGCATTCCATTTTCAAAGATGGTGAAGTTGTAGTGCAAGAATTTCAGGGACTTGCCCAAGTATACATTGGCTAATAAGGGATAAAGCCAGGAAGCCAGGTTTCTAATTTCTATAAAGGTATTCTTTTTATTCCATCTCATTATCTAATTGTGTCTAGTTCAAGGGTTTCGATTCTAATGGGTAGTTAAACAGTTATTGCACCAGAGGACTCCAAAGGATGTGTCAAGTATGATCAGACTAATTCTTATATTTGTGTAGCTGATGCTCTAACAACTGGCAAGGAATTAATAAATTAGTCTACTAGCTGACACTAAAGAAAAAAATGAGATTACAATATGTGTATAATATGTACACTGAAGTGCCTTTAAAATATGGCACTCCTTTCAGCCAAAAGTGAAGTCTAATTTTCCCCCCTTGAATATCAATTGGCTTTGATGCCTCATTTTCTTACAAATAGGTTGTTGAACTCACATGACTTCAGAGGTTAAGTTGTAAAAGCTTCCACTTGGCTTTCCTTCTTGGGTGCGTGTTGTTGGAACCAATCTGTCATGCTGCGAGAAAGCCCAGGACACACAAAGAGGACACGTGAAGATGTCCTGACTAAAAATCTTACCTGAATTTCTACCTGACAGTCAGCATGAACTGCCAGTCATGGACATGAAGAAACCTTGGAGATGATACGAGCCCTAGTCACCAATTGACTGAAAGTCCAGGAGATCCCAACTGAGAATTGCTTAGCTAAGCCCAGTCACCCTCAGAAACATAAGAGATTTAAGGGTGTATTATATAGCAAGAGATGACCAGAACATACTCACTTCATTTAAAATTATCTTTTATTTTCCTCTCTTTCATGAGCCCAGGCAGGCAGATAGTAAGTCTACTCCTCGCCTTCCAAATAACTTAGTTTGCATATGGGCTTGTATACTAAGGCAGTAAGAATTATTATAATTAAGAGTTTGAACATTAGAATCAGATATCCTTGGATTACACTTCTGACGGTGCCATTTACCTGATATGTAATCCTAGAGAAATTACATAATAGAAGCATTAATTTCATAATCTTTACAATTTGAAAAATAATGAAGCCCTTTTTTGTTTCTTTAATATAAATAAACAATATTAGTCATCCAAAGTCCCTGGCACAAGTATTGATACCAACTCTATTTATTGATTGATTGTAATATTCATAGAATATATTTACCTTGATTCCATTCCTGGCACTTTAGCCCACACACCCATTTGCCTTGGCTTCCATGTTTTTCAAATACCAATTATAAATACCTCTGACTGCAAAGATTATGACTACAATAATAAAGATGAGGTAAAATGATAGGCTATTCTAGCACCATACAGACATTTTAATTTCACATGTTCAAAATGCTAGATACAAAGGAAATCATAAAATATCAATTGAAAAGAATTAATTTTATAGACTCAAGTAAAACCTGGAACTACTTTTATTCTCCTACATTTACTTGGTTTTTAAAAAGGTAATACACTTTTGAACAACTTTAAATGTTTTCATTTATTTCTCAAAATTTTTAGTATAATGAGAAAAATTTCGTAATGAAAAAGTTTATATCTTATGAAAACTGGAAACCATCATTCTCAGCAAACTATCGCAAGGACAGAAAAACAAACACCGCATGTTCTCACTCATAGGTGGGAATTGAACGATGGGAACACATGGACACAGGAAGGGGAACATCACACACCGGGGACTGTTGTGGGGTGGGGGGAGGGGGGAGGGATAGCACTAGGAGATATACCTAATGCTAAATGACGAGTTAATGGGTGCAGCACACCAACATGGTACATGTAACAAACCTGCACGTTGTGCACATGTACCCTACAACTTGAATTATAATAATAATTTAAAAAAAGCTGAAGAATTAAAAACAAATATTTGTCATTAAAAATAAACAAATATAATTAAGGACAAAAAAAATTTATGTCATGAACACAAAAAATTTTCACCAGACTTTATGGAAGCAGAATTCTGGCCTATGGGAGTAGAGCTTGACAACTTTATTAAATCACATGATTTAATTTTCCATTACTCATTCATATCTAATACCTGCCCTAATAGGTTTGGTTATTTTAAAAATAAAACAATGAGAATGTTTATAGGTTAAAAATAAAAAAAAAATTAAGATTTATATTCTTCTACTTCTTTAAAATTTTTAATCAGTCAGATATGTATTTTCAATAGTGAAGAGGAAATATTCTACACCCTTAAATATGGTTAAAGGAGCAGGGTTGTAAAACTACATTTATTTCTCATAATCTTATTTCAATAATTATTAGAGTAGATATGCAAAAACAAATGTCTCATAAAAGTAAGAGGTTATCTTTGTATTCATGGTATGAATAAAAATATTCAAAGAGATTTATCCTCAGATAATTAAATTGCACATTCATATACTCTCTTTTCCTGTGGATTTTCTAACAGGCAAGGCACATCCAGCAACTCCACGCTGTTCATCAAAAATAACAACTACATCACTGAGTGAAAATTATTTTGTAGCCTAAATATACACAGTGTCTTTTAAAGATAGGCAGAGAAACTAACTCAATCCCAAATTATTATTCTTTTCTTGGAGAGTTGGAAAGAAGTAAAAAAAAAAAAAACTATTGTCAAATATGTTGGTTACAGTAAATGCCCAGCTTTCTTTCTTCTCTCAATTACATAGTGATTATATATTAGTATTATATTTTATAAAACATGCTTATGTGGCTAGTTTTAATATTTTCATTGTTTCTTTGACTATGTTTTATCCACACTTAATATCTATTTTACTCCATTTTGGCTGCTATAAGTAAATACCACAGACTGGGTAGTTTTAAAAACATGTAAATTTATTTCAGACAATTCTGGAGGTTGGGAATTCCAAGATCAAGATACTGGCAGATTCAGTGTCAGATGAGGATCTGTTCCTCATAGATGGCGCCTTCTAACTGTATCCTTACATGATAGAAGGGATGAACAAGCTTTCTTTGGCCTCTTTTATAAGGGCCCAATCCCATTAATGAGGGCTCTGTCCCCATAATCTAAGTCCTCACCCTTAATACTATGGCATTGAGGGTTAGGTTTCAACATATGAATTTTGAGAGGGCACAAACATTCAGGCCATAACAAGATTATTTCTCCTTTCTTTAAGACTCAATTTTCTTACAGTTTCTTTGCCTTTATTCATGTCTTTGATTACCATGCTTCATTAATATTTAGCAAATCTCATATGTAAGATATGATTATTCATATATACTTTCATAGTATTTTTATCATCTCTTGTCTAGATCACAAATCTCATGAGACAGATACTGCAAGCTTTTCTTTCTTTTTATTAACTTCCTATAAGGACTTAACTTTTTATTAATGGGAGGATAGAGGTCATTTGGAAAGGATAAAAGAAGATCTGTAGTGAACAGAGGAGACCATAATCCTAGATGCAGTCAATTAAGTGAACTTCAGAGGTCAGAGGTCAAAAATTAATTTGGACATGTCACAATGTACACCAGTAGATTCAGTTCACTTTCCCAAGGGAAAGTTATTGAGAGGAATTCTAGATTGAGTGCAGACAATAGAGAAATATAATCTTGTTTCAGATCTCAACTCACAATGAGTTGAATGCACAGTATTGCCAAAAGGAGTTTTGTAACATGTAGTATGGCTGATTCTGGATTCTTCCCTTATTTTCTGATAGAACTATTTTTACTGTATCAAGATACATATTTTCATTGGCTATCACATTCTAGCAGAACATCTTAAACATATTAAGCACTAAATAAACATGACTGTCTTCTGGCTTGCACTGCATTTAAGAAAAGAGATACTCTCTTCAAATGTTTTTTCTTTAATTTTAATGTAAATTTATTGAAGGAAGCCTAGGGATATTTAGGTTATTTTTTATTAAATCAGTTGTTCACTTATTCAGTAAATATTTGTTGAATATATAAATCAATCAGTTATTATTACATTGAAGATACTGAAATACACAAGAGGTTCATGATTCTTGTCCTTCTGAAGCTTACCAGATAATTGGAGGATACAGGGAAGTAAACAGAAAATTATAATCTGGCATGATAAATGCTAAGATAAGAGAAATTCTTGGTGTTATGAAGCCACATAGAAAGGATACTCCACCCAGGCATGGATATCAGGACAGATAATAGTGTGCTCCTTAAGGGTCTTTCTCATTTTTAGCCCCTCAAATTTGTAAGAGAAAGTAGATGCTTCTTTCACCTAAATTAAAATTATCTGCCTCTCATAATTTAATTATAATTTATTTTGGTCTTGTGAGTTGCATATGTTTCTAAGAATATTTAACTGTTAAAGTATGTATTTTTAAATTTCAGTTTAAAAAATTTTTTTCTTGTTTTGGGTTGATTGATTTTGTCTTGGATAAAAATATGCTTACACATATTATGTAAATAACGGGGACTTCCTTTTACGTCAGCATGCTGTATTTTAAAATAAGTACATTTGAATGCATAATCTTCAGTAAGTACTTGGAAAGTTCTCTGCTATTAAAAATAATCAGTTATTGGACTCAGTATCAATCCACAAAGTGTAGGGAGAGAATATACCTGATACCGATTGAGATCCATGTCTTACAAGCCTAAAAGAGGGATGAAACAAAAAATCCCTGGGCAATGTAAGATTACCGATCTCTTCAGACCAAATACATGGACTGACAAAGTAGGTATAAAGAATTACAAAAGAATCTAGTAGAATTTTGGATTCTAGTAGCGTGTATAATATAGTAAACTCTATTGTAGTATAAAGTATATATAGTGGACTATATTTAAAATTGCCATTACCTTATAAAACACAAAAGAAAGTATTTCCAAACTAGGCCTTTGCAACTATTATTCTATATTGTCTGGATGGAAATTGGTGCCCTAAATAAAGGGCTGTGTACATTTAGAAAAGTTATTTATTTTTCTTACAATAAGTTACGTATTTCTCAGCACACATTCATCTATAAAATAAAAATACAAGTAATACGTTGCAAGTAACATCTAATAGATAGGTGGGGTTTTGTGACCACATTCTGGGTAATGCAGTGTGAGCAGAAATTATGTACACCACTTCCACACTCTGCATAAACTATCCTCTGGGTCATATGCAACTCTTTCTATTTTTGACACTGGACACATGTGAAAATAACGGATGTCACTAAATTGGTGATCCTGGATCTCTGGAGAAGAAACCTCAGTCTTTAACTCACATTGGCTTGTGACATGAGCTAAAATAAATTGGTGTCGGTATCTACTGAGCTTGATTTAGATGATAAGGTTAGAAAAATGAACTTTTAGCAGTGTGTCTTCATTTTTAAATTGGCCATATTTAGCCAGGTATTCAGTATAGACAGCATACACAGAAAGAACTCTCAACAATCTAGAGGACAGTATTTCCTGCCTTGTGAATATATCTGTGTTACTTTCCTATTGCTGCTGTAACAAATTAGTACAAATGTAGTAATCCAGAACAAATGGTGGTCAGTGTCTTGCTTTGTAACACATTCAGACACTTGAGAGATCCATAAAGAATCACCCCAATAAGGCTATTCTCTTTATGATCTTATTTATAAGCACTGGCCTGATAACAAAGCTGAGTGATTATGGTAGAAAGAGTTGTGCCCTACCCCAAAGATATCCACATCCTAATCACTAGAATCTATAAATATTTTAGCTAAATGGTTAATGATGTTGAGAAGGGAGAAGTATTCTAGATTATCCAAGTCAGTCCAATCACAAGGGTCCATAAAAAAGGAAGAGTTTAGGGTCAGAGTCAAGGAAACAGACATCACAGAAGCAGAAGTGGGAGGGAGAGAGAGGGAAAGGAAAAGAGAGAGAGATTCAAATTTAAAGATACTATGCTGCTGGGCTTTAAGATGGAGAAAGTAGTCATGAGCCAAGAAATATAGGCAGCGGAAACAACTAGGAGAAAGATCTTGGAAGAAGCATGTTAGCTTGTTCAAAAATCGAGAAGTACACGTGGCTAAAGCAAAATAAGCAAGGAGGAGATATAGTCAGAAAACAAATGGAGAGTAGAGACAAACAGATATATCATGTAGAACCTCATAAGTCATTGAAGACACGTTGGTTTTTACGCTGACACAGGGAGTGGAGACATTGTAGGATTTTCAGGAGATAAGTGATATGATCCAACTTTCATTTATAAAAGAATCACTTCTTCTGCTGATTTGAGAGTAGACTGTAGTGAGGAGGCTATTTTAGTGAGCTACATAAGAAATGATCATGGTTTGGTCCAATATTGTAGCTGTAAAATTGATGACAAGTACATTTATTTTGGATATATTGTTGAAATAAAGCCAGTGGGAATGGCTGCCATATTGGGTAAAAGCCATTAGGGAAAAGAAAAAAAAAATTGATTCAAGTCTGATTCAAGATGATTTCAAAGTTGCTGTTCTGACCAAAGGAAAGTATGGACTTGAAAACAGCCTAGGCTTTTTTGGGAGATCAGAAATTTAGTTTTGGATATGTTGTGGTTAAGATATTTATACTTTTATATCCAAGTGGAGAAGCAGATTAGCATGCTAACGATATGGAGCAATAAATTTGAAAGTCATTCACATAGAGAGGGGGTTTGAAGTCATGGGGCTTGATAAGGTCACTACGATAGTGAATGTTGATAGAAGTGGAAAAAAAGTGATGTTCCGTACAGTCCAAAATAAATGGTTGGGAAGGAAGTATAGGAAGAAGTAATAGGAATCAAGAAGGAGCAACCAGTGATATAAGGCAAGAGGTGGGAAAAAATAAAGAAAATGATGCATTCTGGAAACAAGTTGAATAAAATAATACAAGGGGAATTAATAGCTCTGTTAACTGTTCTTACAAGTTCAAGTAAGGTGAGAACTGAGAATTTTGATGGGCACAATCTACTAGAGAGGTGAAAATCATAATAGAAAAAGAGTGGAGTTCTGAAATAATGCCTTAAGCAGAAAAGAGGAGATAGAATTGGATGCACAAATGGAGAAAATGACTTCTGAGGAAGTATAGAGAGTTTACATATGGTATTAAAAAAAATGACAGTATCTGGTCCAGCACATGGCTCATGCCTGTAATCCCAGCACTTTTGAAGGCCAAGGTGGAAGGATCGCTTGAGCCCAGAGTTGAAGACTAGCTTGGGCAACATAGCGAGCTCTGTCACTACAAAATATTTTTTAAAACTTAGCCTAGCATGGTGGCATGTGCCTGTAGTTCTAGCTACTTGGGAGGCTAAGGCAGAAGGATTGCTTGAGCCCAGAAATTTGAGGCCGCAGCAAGCCATGATTATATCACTGCACTCCAGCCTGGGTGACAGAGTGAGATTCCACCTAAAACAACAACAACAAAACAAAAAAACTATATCTGAGTGCAGACATTGGTTAGAAGAGCCTGAAAATCCCTTTCTAACTCCTTCAGTTTGGTCAGCAGTGCAGGAAATGTGGCCACTGGCAGAAATTTGAGGATGGGAAAGCAAGTCTTCAAGGTCTTCAAAAAGGGGAAATTACAAAATCAGCATGTAGAAGACAGGAAGAGTAAACAGACTGGAGAATTGGAGTATGATTGGCTACAGCCTTAATGGCTCACTTGAGGTTTTAATCATGAATTTAAAGTGAGATCATCACATGTGGTTGTATTTTTTTTTCTTATTCTAGCCATAGTCAGTTGCATTGATACAGATGTGAAGTAGGCAAAGAGATCAATCTAGCCAGGGCCATGGTTTTGCAAGTGTTTACAAAAACAAGAAGAACAATGGTACCGAAGGAATATACAAAGAGTGATTATAATCATTAAACATAGGTAAGGAAAGCATCAGGGACACCAATTGCATGGGGGATATTCAAAAGGCAGTAGAAACAATGAATTGGAGGCCTCCATGGGGTTGAAGGATTGTTGAGCTCATGGTACAAGAGAAAATTAGGTGAGGAAGAATAAGATGTAGCAGTTGAAGGTTAGATGTATGAAATTATGGACATATTTCAGTTATTTGTTTTAATAACATTGTAAATATGACTGTGGAAGTCAGATACAGAGATGAAGTAGAGGATAATATCCTAAAGAAGAATGCTAGGACAGGGTTGGCTAAAATGTTAGAAAATTGCCTACATGTCTGTGAAAACAGTATGAAAATAAAAGTAACGTTGTGTAAAGTAACAGTGAGCCACGAAACAAAAACTGTCAAGGCTTG
This sequence comes from Homo sapiens, assembly GCF_000001405.40. Classification (NCBI taxonomy): domain Eukaryota; kingdom Metazoa; phylum Chordata; class Mammalia; order Primates; family Hominidae; genus Homo; species Homo sapiens. The sequence continues at coordinate 115,297,925 of NC_000004.12, read as the reverse complement.
GAGCTATCATTGTAAAACAGATTAAAAATAAATGCCCTCTTGCTTGTCATTTACAGTCATCTGCAGGGCCTTGAAGAAAACGGAGAGCATTATACAAAATGTAGCGTGTATAATGTTTATATTACATTATTTTTTGTTTTGTTTTTGCTTCCTAATTAGACTTTTGAAAATCAAAATGGAATATACCAAGGGAAGAGAATCAACAATTTCATACTATAAACACAATAATAGTGTCAATAAAAAGAGAAAATTCTGCTCTTCACTCTAAAGACACTACGTAAGGTTAGCTAGACCAAGAATAAGGAAAGAGTATGTTGGGGCAAGAAGCAAGTTAGCAGCGAATGTTGAGAGATGGCCACAGAAAAGAGTCAATTAATCTGGATGGAAGTCTAGCCAATGGCTGCATAGGATTATCCAAAATCATGTGACAGAGGGCTCTAAAATGCCCATGCTGAGGAGCCTTGTTCACTGCTCTCATTGACTATGTTGAATAGCTGTCTGCCCACTGTCTATGGCTCTTCCTGCAGAAAATTAGTCTCCTGAGCCACTAGATTTTGATTAGTATCTTTCTTAACTCTAACTGTGGTTACCTCCTTTGCTAACAGCCAAGGATTTGGACAGAAGCCTCCCTATCCAAGAAACAGGATGAGTCATTGATTCAAAGGTCTCACAGACACATTGATGGAAAAACCTCTGTACAGGTGTTTGGGTGAGCCTGGACGGTGACCCATCCCTATAATACCTGCTTCAAATATTTTCTGAATTCTGAGATAAGAATTTCATTTTAATAAGATCAGGCCCTGTGACTTAATATATAATTTAATCCCTCAGTAAACTGGAAAAGAATCAGAGAAAATGTCTATCTGGATTCAACTTATTTCTTTTTTTTTTTTTTTTTTTTTTTGAGACGGAGTCTCGCTCTGTCGCCCAGGCTGGAGTGCAGTGGCGGGATCTCGGCTCACTGCAAGCTCCGCCTCCCGGGTTCACGCCATTCTCCTGCCTCAGCCTCCCAAGTAGCTGGGACTACAGGCGCCCGCCACTACGCCCGGCTAATTTTTTGTATTTTTAGTAGAGACGGGGTTTCACCGTTTTAGCCGGGATGGTCTCGATCTCCTGACCTCGTGATCCGCCCGCCTCGGCCTCCCAAAGTGCTGGGATTACAGGCGTGAGCCACCGCGCCCGGCCAACTTATTTCTTAAATTGTAATTGCCAGGAAGAGAAATATTGAATAGAATTAGGCTTTGGTAGAAAGCCTAAGTAAAGAAAAAGAAAAAAGAAAGGAAAGAAGGATCATCCTAAAATGTTTACGAAAAACCGTGATTATTAAAAATAAAATGTTGACATTGATAATTTAATCAGAAATTAGGGAGACATACCTATTAATAGTAAAATGGCTATACATGTATAAGTGGAGTTGCTCATTAGCGGGTTTATATCTTTAAAAAATATGAAAAGAAAAAATAAACCACATGCCATTGCATCAAATGAGAGCAACATCAACAATACACAATTTGATGACACATAAAAGAAGAAAACATTAACAATTAGTAGATATGATTACTAAATATAACGTTTCATAATATATAACAAAATAAAGACATCACACTTGAATTATAAAAGCCATACAAGTGCCAGGAGCGGTGGCTCAAGCTTATAATCCCGGCACTTTGGGAGCCTGAGGGGGTGGATCATGAGGTCAGGAGTTTGAGACCAGCCTGATCAAGATGGTGAAACCTCGTCTCTACTAAAAATACAAAAATTAGCCAGGCGTGGTGGCATGTGGCTGTAGTCCCAGCTACTCCGGAGGCTGAGGCAGGAGAATCGTTTGAACTGGGGAGGCCAAGGTTGCAGTGAGCCAAGATTGTGCCACTGCACTCCATCCTGGGTCACAGCCAGACTTCGTCTCAAAAAAAAAAAAAAAAAAAGATATACAAAAGTGTATTGTTTTATCTTTTGAAAAGAAATACTTAATGAGGACAGTATAATTAAGGATGCTAAAGAAAAGAATGAGTTGAGCTTTAAAAAACAAAAACAATAATTCCTTGGAATACAGTATGAAACAGAACAAAAAAGAGATAGATTGAGAACAGGTAAGTAAAGAACATCATGTTTTGTTTTGTTTTTTTCCTAGAGAGAGAAGTTTTTGTCAACATTGAATGTCCACCTGTTTATAATATTGTGGAGAGTTAGATTATTTTAAATTAGATTGCATAATTCCTAAGCACAGATCAATTCTAAAGCATTTTTTTTAATATATACCCACTCCAGTTCATTTTCATGGTCGTTATTTTGGCTCAGATATTGAACATCTAGCTCCTAGCAACTATAATTGAGTGGAATTTCTGTCTTTTTCCTCTGTATTCTACAATCCATTCCAAAAACAGCATTTTTTTTTTTACTAATACAAGAAATCCTTGAAAATAAATTCAGATGTTTAAGTCCCCACACAACCCATCAATTTCTTTTCTCACACAGGAAAATGAATAAAACCAGCATTCCCTCCTACTTGCTGGTCTTTCGTCAGCCAGCAAATTCTCTTGCAAAGATCACTTAAAAAGATTTTATTTTTTTTTTAATTGCTTTTTCTATTCCCTCTGGTCAATATATATTATTCAACTAGGAAACTACCTTTCTGCTTCTCACCATTTTCCCACCAAAATCTATTATTTAAGGCCTGTGAAAGGTTCAGGCGTCATTAGTAAGGTAATACTTTTAGGATAGTACCTTCGTAAAGCAGAGAATTTACATAATTGCCCTGGTTATGAGTTGTTTTGTCAACTCCAATAATATTTCAGAATTATTTTTCAGTATAAAGATTCTGAGCATTCCAAAGAAAAAATTTCAAATAAGCCAAATATATGAGTACTGGAGAACAAACACTGTTATTTAGATTATTAACAGTTCAAAGGAAAATCTTGAAAAAGTAAAGAGGATTTACAACCATTGATTTCTAATTAATAATGAAAATAATTTTAACTCATTAAACTAAAAGTCTGTCTTCTTTCTGCTGAATATGCAATTAATTAGTAATACTGACTTTCAGGGTAATTCTTTGAAAATATACAATTTGATAGCACATAAAATAAGAAAACATTAAACATTAGTAGATATGATTACTAAATATAACTATTTTCCTAATGTATATCAAAATAAGTATATTGCACTTGAATTATAAAAAATATATGAGTATTTTTTATCGTTTGGAAATAAATACTTAATGAAAGTATAATTATCATTGAAATTGTTATTCAATTGATTCAAGTTGAATAGTATTCCTATTTCTTATCAATCATCAGAAATTATGATTCAAGTTGAAATAGTATTCCTATTTTCTTGTCACTTGCCTCTTTATTTAAAAAAAGTGAATTTTATTTTAATAAAGTGTAACTCAATTAAAGTTACATTATACTTAATTCTTTTGGATGCCCAAAGCTAAAATCATTCAAATGTATAGCTTTTTTGTTATTTAATTGTACCCTAGAAGAGGACAACCAATACATTGAGAAGTGGATGGGCGACAAATTTCTCATTCCTCCTTTAGCATCAATTTTCAACCAGCTGAATTTCTCAAAGTTAAAAAAAATTCAATATAGACATGAAAAAAATTAGTTATTTTGCTTGTCCAGTCTAGTTCTCATAATCATGTATAAACTGCTTATCATCTAAAGTTTGGAGAGAAATATTTAAACATAATTAAATGTTTTAAGCTGTCACACAGCCATATAATTTGTCTCCTATGTAACAGTTAGATTCGAAACATGTTTCAGCATTTTTCAGGCAATTAGTATCTTTATATACCTATCAATAAAACTGATATCTTTCTGTCCTGATAGTGCATCTGTCACTACATATCACTGGAACCTATTCAACAATGATGATAATGATGATCATAATTCTGGTGTTTTGTTCAGTTGTTTAAACGTTGTCTGTACCATAAATTCTCTCCATATTAATAGAAGTTGAAAAACTACATTGCTGTTCAAAAGTTTCATTCAATGTTGTCTTGACAGCAGAAATAGCATTTGTAGTCAGTACAATTATGCAGTAAATGACAGGTTTTTAAATATACTTTTAAATTTTGAAAATTGTAATGTGTCAAAATATAACATACAATAGAAAAATAATTACTTTGGGGATATAGCAAGCAAATGAAGGATGGATTTTCTGAGATCCCCAGAATAAAATATAGACTAATGAAAAATCTTCATAGATATGATAGGTATTTCATATTGTGTCATTTTTATAATTTCACTTAGAGATTAAAGATATATTTCTGTAATATTAAAATAAAATGCAGTACAGAGTCATATTAAGAGACATAACCACTGCCAGATATAGGATATTAAACACATCTATTAGGGTTTATCGTCTCCTAAGACCTAAATTTCAAAATTTACCTGACAGCAAATCCTTTTTCTATAACATTCAGGACTTTTAGTATTTGGATTAAAGTACATATGCTGTTGTTGTTTGCTATATGAATGTAATTTTCAGCTATGCAGGTAAGAAGAAGGAGTATAGTTTCATGTGAAAAATACACTGTAGTTCACTTTTTCATATGTAGTTATGGCAGGCTGAAGAATTAAACAGGAAGTACATTAAACACAAAGACATTTAATTGCATCTTCCACTAAGATTTAAAAGCTCAAAGAATTTTTGAATGACTGTTCTGGTGACTGTTCTGAATGACTGCGCTCTGACTGACACATGTAACTTCACTAATCTTATCATTAACCAGTTATCATTTTTAATTTTCTTTTGATGTAGAAAGTTTGTATGGTTAATGAGAATAACAGCAGATGAAATATGTATTACAAATAATACTAGTAAATAGGTATAATTTTTATATTTCAAAAGTGTGTTGTTGACACAAAGTAATAATATTCATTGAATGTCTATCATATTCTGGTAACTTTAATAAACACCCTGTATACAACACCTTATTCCTTTTAGCAGAAGTAGTCCCAATTTACACATGAATAGACTGAAACTCAGAGATGTCAACTTTATAGGGTTGGACATGAAGCTAAGATTTGTATATCAGTTTGCCTAATACAAGACCTATACTTTGTATATTGTGTAACCTATACTTTGTTACATATATTTTTATTTCTTTTTTATTAGTCTTATATGTTACTTGTTAATGAAAGATTAATGAATCTGCAGAGGCAAAAGGAGAACTTTGTTTTCTAAAAGCAGTCTAAAGGTTAGAGAGACGTCCTTCAGTACAAAATGAAAGTGTCCTGTGAGAAGGGGTCATAGGATATTTTAAAGCCAAAAAACACAGAACACAGAGCAGGGGAAGGGAGTTAGGGGACTGAGGAGTGACTGAATGACCTTTAAGCCCCTAATCATCAATCTCTGTTAACTGGCTGGTTGCAGGTAGTTGACTGATTGAGGCCAGGTGGTCTATTGGTGGTTAGATGAGGAAGTTCCAGCTCCTCATCTAACCTTTTTTTTTTTTTTTTTTTTCTCAGAAACTCTTCTTTAACTTGGTCACAGTATAACATGTTTTGTCACGCTTTCCAGGGACACAGCATGCATGACCACTTCCTCTCCCTGCCCTGGCCTCTTGGTTTTAACTGTGGAACTACAGGGATTGTATATTTTCAGTCAAATGGGGGCATGATTCTATGTATTATTAACTATTTCACACATGTGCAATTAAAATGTACACTCTAAGAAGTGATTGTCTTCGTGTTATTTTGTAAAAGAATGAAATTATAAATGAGAAAAAATATGTTCTCAAACTTTTAGGTAAGCACAGTAACACCAAATTTCTTTTCACTCGTTTTAAAAAATGAAATCAGTTTTATACTACAATCTAATTACCCTCTTAAAAATATATTGCTGAAATGTTTTTAGCATGTATAAAGAAGCAGTGTAAATTATAGGCACATGGTGATTATCCCAAAATCTTCGTGCTAAAATTGAAGCTTAATACCAGTTAAGCTGTCACTAAGTCAGAGTTATGAGTATATGCAGGTAAAATTCTTGATAATTGCTTATAATTTTCAATGTTCGGAAAACAGTTTCCTAGGCAGATGTTTTTGCATTTTCCTAAATGTTTCTGTCTCTATCAAATGTTGAACATTTTCTCTGGTTTATGCTCAAACACGTTAATCATTCCCAGTCTTTCAAGATGCTTACCTGACAACATTAACATACAAATGTACAGTGATCACTGTGCTATTTGGATTTCCTTACACTTAATACAGTTGAAAAAAAAATCAGTTTTGGCTTCATTATTTGGTGTGATGCTTTGTTCAAAAAATAAATTTGTCATGAATTTGCTGGCCTTGAAAATTAAGTATTAATTGAGATTGGACAATTAGAAAATTATCTCAGAAAAATATCATTTAGCAAGCAATTCCTTTAAACTTGTAATATCATAAAGGAGGTTACTGGGCTATAAGATTGTCTATGCCAATGGCATAAGTTACCATCATTTCTATTTCTAAGACCAGTAAATACATATTAAATCTTTCTTTTCACATTTTATTTTAAATTACCTTACAGCTAAGTATTAACTATTCAGGAGCTAATTACCCAGCTAATGACTTCTCTATACTTTTTTTTATTTTAGTATTTCATTTCTATAGCCATCAAAATTTCAATATCTATAGAAAATGAGATGAGTATACATTAACAACTTAATTTTATTAGATATAACTAGTTCTAGTGAAAGTCTATGATAAAGATTATTGATGGTTTTTATAAAATAAGACTGGAAACTAAAATTCAATTTATTCTGGTTACTTATGTGATAGAATAATGAATTGTGTGGCAGTATTTTGACCCAGAAAAAAAGTTAAGCCAAAAAGGTTAAATGTTAGTTAGTGTTCAAAAATTGCTACATAACCTTAATCTAAAGTCCATTCTGTATGACAGAATTATCTTAACACCATTATTTTTAGTGTAAAATTACTTAATATTAGAAATGTTGAAGAAATCCTATATAGTGACGTTTATGTAAAGTAAATGTTTCTCAAAATAGTTCAGACACAAACTGATCTAGGTGTTTCCAAAAGAATCTTAGTCCTTGATAAGAAGCAACAATTCACTCCGTTGAATCTCCTACTGTTTTCTTCACTGAAAAAATAATATTTTAGTGTTTCTAAAAAAATGAATTATCTTAAAGTATGAACATTTGTAATTCTTTAAGTAGTTTCTTGTTTTACTAATTGACTTTGAGAAACAACAACAATTAACTTCACCTTTCCAGTCTCCTAAGTCTAATTCTTTTACTCTAATTTTTATTTCCTAGACCAATCTGTTCCAGCATCAAATTCTATTGACTGGACATTTAAAACATATTCAGCCTTTCTTATCACTACTTTGGTCTAAACCATTATCATTTCTCACCTAGATTGCTGCAATACTATAAAAAAAAAAAGGGTCCCCTGTTCCTGCTTTTTGGGAATCAAGCTGTTCTCAAATTAGCCACCAGAAGTTTTTTTTTTTTTAATAAAAATAAGATCATGATACTTTCCTGTATTAAAACCTACAATTTACCCACATACTACTCAAGTTAAAAGTTAACACCTATAACATGCCTCACTATGTCCCGCATGTTCTGTGCCTCCCTAACCCTGAACTCCTTGACCTTATCCCCAACACCACTCTCATCCCCAAGATTATTCTTCTCCCACCATATTGTCTGCTCCAGGAATCAACAAGGCATAATTTGTTCTGGGGTGTTTGCTCTTCTGTTTGTCTCTACTGAGAAGCATTTGTCTCATATATGTATTAGATAGGTTTCTCCAGAGAACCAATAGGATATACCTGTAAGAAAAGACTTATTATGGGAAATGGCTCATACAGTTACACAGTTATGAAGGCCAAGAAGTCCAACAGTCCACCTTCTGCATGTTGGATAAACACGAAAGTCTGTAGTGTGACTTTGGCTGAGTTCAAAAGCTTGAGGACCAGGGAGCAGAGAGTGCAAGTCCGAATCCAATTTTAAAGACTTGCGAAAGAGGAATACTGATATCCAAGGGCAGGAGAAGATGAATGTTCCAGCGCAAAAAGATAGTAAATTCACACTTTCTCCACATTTTTATTTGGACCCTCAACTGATTGGATTATGCCTACTTATATTGGTGAGGGTGATCTTCGCCACTCTACAGATTCAAATGTTAATCTTTTCTAGAAACACCCCTGCAGATGAACACATGCGTGCACGCACACACACACGCACACACACTCTCTCTCTCTCTCTCACACACACACACACACACACACACACAGAGAAATAACGTTTTACCAGCTATCTGGGCATCTCCTGGCTGAGTCAAGATACATATAAAATAAGCCATCACAGTGTACTTCCTCACCTCTTCCAAGTCTTTGCTCAGGTATTGCCATCTCAGTGACTCTTCTATTTAAAATTGCCTCACCATACAGTATATATTCACTTTGCCCCTTTATTTTATTTGTCCCTTTCATTGTAATACCTCTTAAAATATTATATAATTGTGTTTTTTGTCTATCTCCCTCCCAATATAATGTAAACTTTTCCTTTTATTCTCCTGTATTCCCAGATCCCTAGAAAAGCATATGTCTCCTAGTAGACACTTAATGGATATTTGTTGAATAAAATATAGCTAACACATTTAAAAAAAAAAAGTAGAATAAAACTTAACCAAGGTTTAAAAAGTAGATGAAATGCTTTAGAAAAAGATTTTTATACATGCATACATGCTAAATCTGCAGATTTTTAAAGGATTAGTAGAGATAAAATAGCATGCTAAATACAAAGCATAGAAAATAAAAACCTCAATTTTTCTTTTACAAAATATAATGCTTTTGAAATAAATATCAATATTATTTTCTGACTTCAACTGAAGACAGAGGAAGCTAAGAAGCCTTCAGTGTCACTGAATGCCAGGACCAGCTCCTGGTCTTGAATGCATTCTAGGGAAGCATGCACTATTGCACGTGCACTGAAATACAAAGCAGGTACTTAGCTGAGCAAGAGGTATCTTCCAGCCTTTACTCTTAAGTGTCATCTTGTATCTCAACCTGAATTACACCACAAAACAAAAATGCCTTCAGCATGCAATGTTTGTGAAACCCAATGCAGGAAACATTCCTCAAATAAGGAACCCATAGAGAGCCTTGGCCCCCTGAAAGCACCCAGAAATGAGGCCGATTGACCATATACAACATATACCACAGTAAAATCCTCAAGGCACAAAGAGACTATAAAAACAAAAAGCCCCATCTGAATGACGGCAATATTTTTTAAAAAGGAAAAGAAAATATACACCAGTCCCCTCACATGAAATCAGAATAAGAACTTCAGCAATTCAAAAACCCAGGATGATTTCTTACCTTCAAAGGCTCCCACTAGCTCCTCTGTAATAAATTGCAAACAGATTGAGGCAACTGAAATGACAGATACAGAATTTAGAACCTAGATGGCAAGGAAGCTCAAAGAGATTGACCACATGCTCACCCATAAAGCAAGTCTCAATTAATTTTAAAAAATCAAAATCATACTAACTATATTCTTGTGCCAAAGTGAAATAAAAAGAGAAATCAATACCAGGAGGATCTCTCAAAACTACACAATTACGTGGAAACTAAACAATTAGCTCCTGAATGACTTTCGGGTAAATAAAATTAAAACAGAGATCACAAAATTCTTTGAGATAAATGAAAACAGAGACACAACATACCAAAATCTCTGGAAAGTAGCAAAAAAAATGTTAAGGGGAGAGTTTACAGTGCTAAATGCCTATATCAAGAAGTTAGAAGATCCCAAATTAACAATCTAACATTGCACCTAGAGGAACTAGAAAAAGAACAAACCAAATCCAAAGCTAGCCAAAGAAAGGAAATTACTAAAATCAGAAAGGAACTAAATAAATTGAGATAAAAATTCATACAAAGGATCAATGAAATGAAGTTGGTAATTTGAAAGAATAAAAATATTGATAGAACTTTAGCTGTATTAACAAATAAAAAGAGACAGTCTAAATAAGCACAATTACAAATGACAAAAGTGACATGTGACATTACATCTGATCACACAGACATGCATAAGAGCCTCAGTCACTACCATGGACACCTCTGGGCATATAAACTAGAATCTAGGGAAAATGGATAAATTCCTGGAAATACACAATCTTCCAAGATTGAATCAGGAAGAAATCAAAAGCATGAATAGACCAATATTGAGCTCTAAAATTCAATTAGTGATAAAAAGCCTCCAACCAAAAAAAGCCCTGGACCAGACAGATTCAGAGCTGAATTCTACCAGACATGCAAAGAAGAATCGGTGCCAATTCCACTGAAACTGTTTCAAAAAATCAGGGAGGAAGAACTCCTCCTTAACTCATTCTACAGAGGAAGCATCAATCCTGGTACCAAATCTGGCAAAGATACAACAAAAAAGAAAACTACAGGCCAAGTCTCTCATTAACATAAACACATAAATCCTCAACAAAATACTAGGAAACCAAATCCAGCAGCACATCAATAAATTAATCTACCATGATCAAGTAGGCTTTATTCCTAGGATTCAACACTGTTTCAACATACACAAATCAAAAACTGTGATTCACCGCATAAACAGAATTAGAAACAAAAGCCACATGATTATCTCAATAGACACACACAAAAAAAACTTTTGATAAAATTCAACATTCCATTGTGATAAAAAAAAAACCTTCAACAAACTAGGCATTGAAGGAACATACCTCAAAATAATAAGACCCATCTATGACAAACCCATAGCCAACATCACAAGAATAGGCAAAAGCTGGAAGTACTCCCCTTAAGATCAGGAACAAGACAAGGATAATTACCTTCACCACTCCTATTCAATATAGTACCAAAAGTCCTAAGTACTCTTGCTTGATTGCTCTGATTAGAGAAAGAAATAAAAGGCATTCAAATAGAAAAAGAAGTCAAATTATCTCTCTTTGCTGGTGATACGAACCTATACGTAGAAAATCCTAAAGACTCAAACAAAGGGCTCCTAGACCTAATAAATCACTTTGGTAAAGTTTCAGAAAACAGAATAAATCTGCACAAATCAATAGCATTTCTGTTCACCAATATTATTGAAGCTGAGAATCAAATCAAGATGCAACCCCATTTATAATAGCCACAGAAAAATAAAATAACTAGAAATATATCTGACCAAAGTGGTGAAAGACCTTTACAAAGAGAACTACAGAACACTGCTGAAAGAAATCATGGATGATTCAGTGATATTCCTATCAAACTACCAATATCAATTTTCACAGCATTAGAAATAACTATTCTAAAATTCATATGAAAATGAAAAAGAGCCTGAATTGTCAAAATGACTCTCAGCAGAAAGAACAAAGTCGAAGACATCACATGACCTGACTTCAAACTATAGTATAAGTCTAGATTAATTAAAACAGTATGGTACTGGTACAAAAACAGACACATAGACCAATGGAACAGAATAGAGAACCCAGATATAAAGCCACATGCCTAAAACCATCTGATCTTCAACAATATTGAGCAGAATAAGCAATGGGTAAAATATTTCTTATTCGATAAATGATGCTGGGATAGCTGATTAGCCACGTGCAGAAGAATGAAAGTGGACCTCTACTATTCACTATGTTCAAAAATTAATTCATGATGTGTTAGAAACTAAAATGGAAGACTTCCTAGTATAAAAATCATAGAAGAAAACCTAAGAAATACTATTCTGGATATCAGCCTTGGGTGAGTCTGCAGATAATGGATAAAGAGCAATATGTCTACTCTGTTTACACAAAGGAGACAAGAAGGTAACTAACTCCTCATCCTTCAAAAGAAATTAAAAATAATGTGCTTCTTTGTGATTAATGGAAAAGAACCTAGGTTCTCAGCCTAACATTTTGAAATGTAAATACAATTTTTCAGTGCTCAAATAAATCCCAGATATCTGAGGCTTTTAAACCCGGAAATTCTTCTGTTTCCAGCACCTGTGTCTTAACCTAATGACCTAGCTCAATGTGTAACCATTTGGCCTTCTTGGGTCAAAATAATTAACTAGACACATAACTACAGATCTAATTATCATGGTATATAAAGAGTAAAATGTTCCTGCAGAAGTAAAAGCAAATATCCCTTATCGTTATGTTGTATACAATTTCATGGCTCACAAAGCCACGGCATTTTTTCTAGAGCATTGAGTAATCCAGCAAGTTTTCTTTCCCCATATTGATTCCAGGATTTATGCCACTCTAGTACCCTGCTCCAGGTCATGCTTCTTGAGTTTAAATGCCTGAAAACCAAAGGCAAGGGACATCATTCTCAGATTCCCATAAAACTGATCTGTTGCCCATTGCAGGTTGAGGGAACAAGATCTTTTTTCAGCACCTAGCCATTATCCCAACTCCAGTTCTATTCTCTTACTCTCTAGTATTTATTGCAGCTTATGAAAAATTGAATTTCATTCAGGAATAAATTCACTTATAAATATGTGTATTCTTCAACTTCTGTGTTTGACATAAGCTATTTGGTTTTAATATGTTTGCTATGATTATAAAATGTCAAAACAGCCTTTTTTCTACAGAGGCAGATTCTGCAATTGAAAGCACTGGTATTCTACACCATTATTTGTTATTATGATTTTTAAAATGTGTCTATTAAGTAAAAAAAAAAAAAGCAGACTAATTTAGTTATTATCTCAAAATTCTATTCAACTTCAATTTCTTTAAATCTCTGTTTAATAATACTAAGAAAATATCACATACAATGTAGGATTTAACTCCATCCTTAAAGTTAAATGTATTTGCTGAACAATATTTAAGAAATATTTATTAAGAAGTTACTGTGTGCAATAGTTTTAGTAAATAAAACACAAAAATTACTGCCCTCATGAGAATTATGGTCTAGCTAGGAAAGACAGAAAATGAATAGCATAACTAAAT